>NC_000003.12:124463149-124614664 GCF_000001405.40 Homo sapiens
ATTGTTTCCAACTTGATTTAAGAATTTTTCCCACACCATACAAAACAGCATGTTCCATGGTTAACAAAGGATCAGCAAAAAAATTGGCATGATAAGTTACATAACCAACCAATAGAAATAACTGTGTTTCCAAAATACAAATAGAATCTCAAGACACAAAGAAGAACATGGGCATAAAGTCTTAGAGCTCTCAGGACCCTGCTGCAGAGCAGTGCTGTGCCAGGCTAGCAGAGGCATTTACTGAGTTGTGTAGGTTTGCTGGAGATAGAAGGGCCATGTGTACAGGTGTAGCAGCCACCCTGAGGCAAGACTCCAGAATAGCACTGTCCCATGGAACCTTCTGCAATGATGGAAATGTTCTATATCTGCAGTGTCCAATACAGTAGCACTAGATATGTGTGGCTAATGAACACTTGAAATGTGGCTAGTGCTACTGAGGAACTGAATTTTCAATTTTATTTAATTTTAATAGATTCAGATTTAAATAGACCACAAGTAGCAAGTGGCTGCCATATTCGATATCTCAGCTCTAGAATAGCCCTGTGCTAAGAATGACCAAGAGGCAAGCAAGAATTGGGTGTAAAATGATCCTGGGCTGTAATAGGTCCAGATAAGGGGTGGAAAGTCACTCCTCTCTCTTCACCTCCTGGTTATTAATTCCTGGTATGTCATCAGATGGCATCAGTTTAAAGAGAACATAATATATGTAGCTCCCATGGCATGCAAACCTTGTGAGATTATTGAAGCAATACGCTCTGGGGGAAAAATAACTGTTTGACTTTCTGGAATATGTGATATAAGTTCCCAGTCTTTTGTTTTTTTAATCATAAATTTTAACACGATCCATTTGGTTTGTCTGGAAATTTCCAGATGTAGAAATATCATGTCCTCATGCTTATCACTGATAAGAGCCCAATAAAACTATTTGACCATTGATCCCAAATTCCATCATCTGAGCCCAGCTCAGTATCATCCCATCTCCCTCAGGATATCTGAGAAGACATCGGACTGGCAAACGGTAAGTCGTGTTACCTTACTTTTCTGGCTTATGGTCTCTGGGATTTACTCAACAAGTCTCACTTTCCCCATGTTCTTAGCCAATTGACTAACTACGGAAGCCTAGAGATCACAGCACGCACTTTCTGGGAGCCCTACATTTGCCAATCAGTTTATAAGGGGAATGAATATACATTTCCAAATTGATCACTTGTAACAAAATAGCTAACATAATCATGCCTCTTATTCTGCTGTCATGATATCACTGGTAAACCATGGTAAACAGTTTTGTAGTTTTCTAAATAGCTGAAAATCTACCTACCAGTTACAATATATAGTTCTAAGAAATCCTTTTAAAAAATCAAATTAAACCATAGAGAATCTCGCATGCTGTAAATCGAGGAATAAATCCAACTATCAAGAACACAGCTACCCAGCACATATTATCGAGTTAGAATATTATGAAGAAAGAAAAAGAAAATAACAACTAGCCTCTCAACAACCAGAGAAGATGCCACAAAAATTAAGTTCTTGTCTTTTCATAGAAGCATCTTTCTATCCTCCCTAACAACCTCTTTACCTCTTGATTATATAGTTTGTAAGCCCACAGCTATTTAGAAACAGCAAACAAGAATCAAGAACTTGAGTGAGTAGTGGGATACCAGCAGCTGTCTAAAGAAGACAAACTGCAAAAACAGTAGGCAATAGAACCAAAAAAAAAAAAAAAAAAACCTCATAGTGGTCAAGGGCTACTCAGTATTGGTGCAAACCATTCTGTATCCCACCATAGGGCCCAATACAGCCACTGTGTTACAGCATAGCATACTTAATATTAGCAGTAACCCTGAGTCATGAATATGTTCCGCACTAAAGGCAAATAACTGTACTGCATTTAGAAAGCTATTGACCAAAAATAAATTAATGGTTTAATTATCTGCAATTTAAGGAAATATCTAAGAAAATCAAGCTTCATATTAATTTCCTACAGGATCTGTGGGCTGTCTTTACTGTACTCATAATGTATGCTTTCTGCTTGTGTCCTACAAATTTTGATTAATGAAGAAAACATAACACCTCTAAAATCTCTAGTAAATAAGAGATAGAATGGCAGTTAGCCAACTTAGAAAATGCAGGAATTGTAAACTCTAAGGGACAGCTTAGAGGGGAGAACATCTTTCACTGCATAATCAGGTACCTGGCACATAAGTAAACATTGAGTAAATATTTGTTTGGTAGGTGAATGCATGGATGAACAAACTGAAGATAAAATTACTATTTGCAGACTTATGGCTAATACCATTCAAGTCATAATTTAATCTTTTGTTTGTAAAAGTCTCAAGACAGAGAAAACCATTAGGTATGATTTTTTCCCCATCACTACAAGAACCATCTGGAAGAGCAAAATAACTTAATTTCTACATGAAGGAGTTTCTTGGAAGCTTCTTACTGGCTGGACCATGCAGTTGTCCTAATACTTATTTATTCTTCAGAAATACTTGTCCGAAATTGTCACTTCTGAATATGAAAAAAAATCAAAGGATGCTTTTTAACCCCAATTGTTTGTATTATTCCAAAGTTGCAATTAAGCATTGTCTAACGGAAACATGCTCCTCTCATTTCTAGTGCATAGCTCAGGTTATCTGCCTGTAATCCAGAGAGAGCCTATGGGAGGGAGAGCAGGAGGAAGGAATATTGGGAGATTGAGAGATTGAGAGAGAAAGGGATTGAGATTGACACGACCTTGCTAACTTAATTAGCTAAGTCACTAGAAAATTAGCACCTAGACCAAGGGTTATGTGGTGAATACATATCTTAACTAGATAGTATTGATCTGTCTAAATGGTGTCACTTTGAAAAATTGCAACCAGGATTAGTTCTCTCTCTTGCTCTGTGTGTGTGTGTGTGTGTGTGTGTGTGTGTGTGTGTGTGTGTCTGTGATCTGTCTGTCTCAAGGACCTTTGTCTTTATAGGTATTGAATGGGGAAATTCCCCAGCACCAAAACTTCTTTAAAGAACAGTTTAATATGTAGAATTTAATACCTGCAAACATTGGCTTTAACACAAACCGGAGACTGAAGTGGAATGATACTTCGTTTTGCCCTCCACTCTCCCCATTTTGCACTACTTCTCTTTCCTACAGAAATAACTATATAATCATGAAATTTACTTATCTACACAAGACTTAGACCTATTTTGATTGCATTTTATAAGCATTCCTGGAGCACTCAGACAGGAGAATATATTCCATTAGTAGATCCCTAGACAGTAATGATTTTGTTAATGCAGTCTTCCCATTTTGCCTAGCATACAACTTGTAATTCAAGAAAATAATTTGTTTTCAGCTTGCTGTTATTAGATTTGCAACTTTGCTGTGGACAGCTTTTTGTTTAAAATGCTCATCACCTTCTGTTAAATCTGAACTTCTTCCTTTTTGGTTTTTTGGAGATAGGGTCATATGTGAGTCTGAGCAATAACATTTTCATAAAATCTCTACTCCCAGCGCTCAGAGGGTCCTCTCAACCATCAAGTACAACCCTCTCCATGTACAGACAAGGAGACAATCCCAGAGGAGTCGTTACTTGCCCAGTGTGCGCCCCTCCCCTTTCCTTAAAAGTGAGGATTTAGATTCCAGGGCTTGGTCTCCCACTTCAGCACTCTCTCCCCTTCTCTCACTCCCTAGACCACCAATGGTGGCTGCCACATCTGGCTGGTTTAATTCATAGTGAAACAGCTTCCATGTGGATCTTAGAATTTGATGAATATTTCTACCCATTTCTCCCAGAGCTATGTCATTCTTGTGCCACACCCCTACAACAATTACCTGAAATAAATCAGTTTTCAGCAAGGTCTAGATTTTCAAATTAGGGACCAACCACCAAGGTTAGATGCCCCTTCTGCACACTCCCTCCCTCCAGGCTTGGCTGGAAGCTATTAGATTTGGCCTTGGCCACCAGCCACTGCCCTCCCAACCTGGTGTTCCCTGCTCCGAAGGAGCAGGACCAGAGATGTGTGAGGTTGAACTGGGAGCACTGACCAGGCCAGGGTCAGCCAGGAGCAGTGAGGGGTGAGCAGCAGGGGTAAAATCGAGGCTGGGGAATTTAGGGAAGGGCACCCCAATGAGCGACTGAACCACAGCCACATTTCAGTCAACTTCCCAGAGTTCCTCCCTTGGGCCAAAGGTGGCTAGATTGGAGATGAAGCTGGTACCCTGTGATTGAACCCAGCCTCTGCCCTCTGGGTTCTGAGAATGACATATCTGTCTGCAATAAGGGTGGAGGTGGGCACAAGTGGAGCACAAAGAAAATAGCCTCAGTTGGAGAGTAGGAAAGGCCTCATGGAGAAGGGGGCATTTGAGATATAATTTAAATAAGGGGTGGGATTTTTACAGGCAGGGATGGCTTCCTTGATGATGGAATAAAGTTTGAACAAAGGCCCTGCAAGGGAGAAAAGTGGTGAAGTCTAGCAGGGAGGTTGAGAGAGGCAATAGGGGGTTTGGGAGTGGGGCTCCATCCTGGGTCATGGGAAGCAGAGAGAGGTCTCATTGTCGCACTCCCAGGTAGGCTGGGTCTTCTCACATCCATGTCTGTAAGACGAGGAAAAGAAAGGAGAGGTGGTGGGCAGAGATAGTGCAATTCAGAAATGTAGGGAGAGACAAAAGGAAAGGAGGAGAGAGAGCTAGGTGGATAGAGGATAAGTGAGAAAACCATGAAGTGGACAGATAATAAGGAGAAAGGAAGAGATAGAGAAGGAGAGAAGCAGGAGAGCCAGAGGGAGGCAATGACGGTGGGAGGGTGGATAGGTAGGTAGGGTAGGTAGTCAGGCAGGTAGGTAGGTAGGTAGATCCATCTGCGGAAAGAGGCCCTAGGGAAAGGGGAGGGGATGAGGAGAAGGAGATCGAGGGAAAGAGATGGATAAAGACCTAGACCTTCCCAGAGCTACCATCCTGTTGAGGGAGAATGAGCAAGGTGGTGTTTTTCAAACCATTTTTATCATGAACCAAAGAAAAAGACTGTACATTATGCCCTGATATACGCATGCATATATGCTATATATAACAGGGAAGTTAAATTTTGAAAAACACCTGCATTATGTGTGATGCACTGTGGTATTTTGTGTTAGGCTCTATTTCTTCCTCCTCCTCTTTTTTAAAATTCTGGTTGCCACCCATAAATTGATTTTACAACCCCTTGAAACACAAGGGGGGGGTTGATCCATGGCTGCACGGCAGAGCGCTAGCTCCACCAGGTGGTGAGAGAAGGGATGTGCAGTTCAGGCCACTGGGGAAAGGCCGCCCTGTCAGGCTGCTGCTACCTTTTCCTCCCTCTTTGCCCCTCCTACCCCTTCCCAACACACACACCCTTGCTTAAAATGTGCATGTTCTATGCTTTCTAAGCTTCTTCCCCCACTCCAAATGCCTTTGGTGTTAGTGGTTTCTCACGTATGGAAAATCATAGAATTATCAAATATAAAAGCCCGAAAGAAATCGTTAAAGATAATCTAGTTCTCCCTTGCTCTATAGAAACTGAAACTTACAAAGGTTTATGATCTGCCCAAACCAAAATTAGTGACACAGCCAAAGAATCCAGCTGTCATTTTCTTAATAGTCAAATGTTAAGGAAAGAGGAAGGGGAAGGCCTGTTGTGATTTTTCTTTGGTCCCCAAACGCACACTTGAAGAGGTAACTTGCAGAACCCATCAGAGGAGCCCTATACAAATGTAGCTGTGGTCTTGTTACTGTTGTTTGTGTTTTCAGTAAGCTATCAACATTGGGGCTGATTATAGACGTTAGGGAATACCCAAAACAAGACAAAGTCTAAACACTTCGTTTGGATGTGTCAAAGTAATGTTAATTTTTGTTTTACACACTAACTTCTTAGCATCCATGCCTGGTTGCTAAACACCACCTTATTGGAGATGAGTAACATTAAGCATAAGATTAATCTTTTGTATTTTATTTTAACATTAAACTTGGTATATATCTATGCAAATAACTTTATTCATCTGATCACACAAATTAGACAAAGTTAGAAGATATTGGCAAAAACATATTCAACAGGTAACCATGCAGCAAGGTAAATTTTGCTGCTTGTGGTTGGAGGCTGAGAGTGTGATGTGCTGAATGGGCGTCCAGCCCTGCAGACCTTTCCTCTTCATCCCTAACCTGAGCTAAAGTGTCAAGTGTGAAATGAAGGGACAAAGCCAGGTGCTTCTCATGGCTCAGCCTGGGTGATCCAACTGTGCTGGAACTGTTACATGAAAAATCCAGCACCTTTCCCTGAGTGTACATGACCCTCCATTAGTTTAATACCTGCTCCAGTATGCTAACCGGCTATCTTAGCCCCTATGGTCTAGAGCCTCTTATGTTCTAGGCTCTGAATCTGCCTGGTCATTAATGGATTCTTTAGAAATAATCTCTAGCTCTACTTGCATGAAGGCAGTTACCCAGCCTTGCTTTGAAAAGAAGGCAATGTCCTGGACTTCCTATAAATACATGAACCTCACACCTTTCTCCCCACCCCATTTCCGACTTAATTTTTAAATGTATGCTCCACGTTGTTCCTCTTTTTCCCGTTGCCACAACAGGCCCCTTCCCCTATCACCACCTCTGGCGTTCCAACAAGCAAATGCACATTGACATACAAGGTCATCAAATAGTTATTTCCATTTAGATGCAGACTGCACCCTTGATGTAAAGTCTGTTTGCTGACAAGATTGTGCGCTCCTTAATGAAGGATACACTTCCCCAGAAGCAGTGAGATTTTAGACCAAATTCATCTTCAGAGAGAATAACAGAACCAGTCCAGTACCTTTGAAATAGTGCTGTTTCTATCATATTTAATGACAAAACTCAGAAAGCTTTCTGTTAATAAATGCCAGCAGTTTCATTTCCCAGGATTGTGTACAAAGCCAAAAGGAAGCATTTTCCTCATAAAGTAACTGCATAATATATTAAATTATAATAATTTAATAGAGTAATGGCATTGCCTTGATCTTGACATTTCTTTAAAAGTTTTATTCCTTTCTGAAAGAACCCCAGACATTCACACAAATGACTTGCTTTGCTCATTCCTTCACAATTTATTACATGTAATTATTGGAGTAGTGAGGGCCAAATTGCTGCTATAGAACAGCTAAGGTGAAATGTTTCATCATTTGTGAAGAGAGTTGTGAGCTGTTTTGCTTTAATTTGAATTCATCATGTCTATTTGAAGTAAGTAGAATAATATGGATCAGACTTACATAATCTGTCATCTTCATAAGCTTCCAATTAAGAAGTAAAACAGAGTTTAATATTGCCACTTACTTTCAACATTTACATTGAGATGGTAATGAATATCTTATTCAAACTTATCAATTGGTATGCCTGGCACAAGCTGAATAGGTTTTTTAAAAAAAAAAATGTTCTTAGCTTTCTCCCCCTAAATTAAATCCTATAGAGCCGATGTAGGATTTGCCATCTGGAAGCATCCTGGAATCTAGGACAGTTGCCTTTAAATGCTCATCTATGGACTGGATGTGTGGGAATTACCCAGGAAGCATTTCTAAACAATGCATTTGCTCAGATAGTAACCCCAGAAGGCAATGTACAACCAGGTGTGGGACCGCTAACTAGAGTTTTCCAAGAGTGTTCCTTGAGACAAAGTCTGATACTCGCCCCAAAAGTGCTGCAAGCACAAAGAAGTTTGAGAAGCACTGCATATTGTATTTACTTCAGAGGTTTATAGTGTAACTCAACATATTATAGGATTTTGGAAGTTCTTCAGCAAAAAAAACCACCTTAGCCCAACATTTCCCAAACAAGGTGACCTTGGAATCTAAATGTTACATAATAACCAATCAAGATTTTCCCAGGATATGGTTTAGGAGAAAGTAACCTGCTGCAGATTTTTCAGCAAGGGCTTGGTAGGGAGTTCCCCCTAAATATAAGTCTCCAGGAGTGGGGAAGAGGGTCAGATACATGTTTACCAAAGAGAATATGAGTTTATTAAGATTGAGAAGCACTGATCATGAAGAACTACTGTTTATTTAGTGTCTACTGTGTGCCAGGCACTGGGTTGGGTTCTTTTTACCTGTGGATTTATTAAATCCTTACAAGCACCCCCACAAAGTTTTATTATTATTATTATTATTATTATTATTATTATTATTATTATTTGAGATGGAGTTTCACTCGTGTTGCCCAGGCTAGAGTGCAATGGCGCGATCTCAGCTCACTGCAACCCTCCGCCTCCCAGGTTCAAGCGATTCTCCTGCCTCAGCCTCCTGAGTAGCTGGGCTTACAGGCGCCCACCACCACGCCTGGCTAATTTTTTGTATTTTTAATAGAGACGGGGTTTCATCATGTTGGCTAAGCTTGAACTCCTGACCTCAGGTGATCTGCCCACCTCAGCAAAGTTGTTATTTAAAGATGAGGAGGATGAAGCTTTGGAAGACCCTTTCACAACTGTGACCAAGTGTGAATGCTGATTCTTTAACTTGTGCTCAGTTGTGGGAGGGGAAGAAAGTCAGACCTGGGGGTAGGCAGATGGGTGAGCTAGTGGTAACTGCTGTTAAAACCTTCATTTTCCAGCACTTTGGGAGGCCGAGGTGGGCGGATCACGAGGTCAGGAGATCAAGACCATCCTGGCTAACATGGTGAAACCGTGTCTCTACTAAGAAAAAGACAAAAAAATTAGCCAGGCGTGGTGGCGGGCGCTTGCAGTCCCAGCTACTCGGGAGGCTGAGGCAGGAGAATGGCGTGAACCTGGGAGGCAGAGCTTGCAGTGAACAGAGACTGCGCCACTGCACTCCAGCCTGAGTGACAGAGTGAGACTCCGTCTCAAAAAAAAAAAAAAAAAACAACCTTCATTTTACAGAAAGGCATTCCTCATGAAAATTATATGCTGTGCATTTAATTCTGGTTATAGTATTTTTGCTTCCTGAGGATTTTCAAATTGTGCATCTTCCCATAGGTTTTTGGTAGCTGCTATCACAAAAGTCAGGGTGTTGCTCTATTGAAATTGATCAGATTTTAAATAAAATTGCCAGCACTGTCTTTCTATCAATGATCAATTCTTTAGACATAATTATCATTGTTTACTTCAAATTAAAGTGACCAGGCCAATTATCCTTGGGTCATAAGTCAAGGAATGGCTCTCCCTGAGTCATCATGGGTATCCTTGCCACTTCTGACACAATAAAACAATTTTTTATCCTGTGTGGAATGTCCTGATCCAGGCTGTTTTACCATTTCTTTGGCTACTCTTAAGGGAGAAGGGCCCAGGCTGGGCACGGTGGCTCATGCCTGTAATCCCAGCACTTTGAGAGGCCAAGGCAAGAGGACTGCTTGAGCACAGGAGTTTGAGACCAGCCTGGGCAACATGGCAAGACCTCGTCTCTATTATTATAAAAAATTGTTTTTAATTTTAAATTAAAATGTGTGTGTGTATATGTGTGTGTGTGTGTGTGTGTGTGTGTGTGTACCTGTGTGTGTGTATATATATGATGATGAGGCAGATTGATTCTTTTCTCAACAGAAAAGTATATTTCCCTTTGGGTCTTAAACTAAGTTTGATCCTCAATTATAACATTATATAGCACTTTTTAAAATTTGCACTTTAATGGTCATATAAAGTACATATTAGTTTAAATGTGTCACTTGTAGTTCTTTAAAAGGTAGCAACAAATATGACACTTTATTGACTTTGAGCACTACATATTTGCATTTCTGAAGCCCAAATATCATTATAATTACTCTTTGATTCAGGTCAGAATACTCTAAAATCACCTATGTAAGGACAAACTGGGTACAGCTAGGAGTCTCCCAGATTTTTTTTAAATGGCTTTTTGCTTATCGCTAAAGCAATGCTCATTTGTCGTAGAAAAAATTAAATTGCAGATGGACAAAGAAGTCATCTATTATCCCATCAATTATTGTTAGCATTTTGGCTTTCCAAATAGGACTTGCCAAACATCTTTAATTGCACATACATATTTTTAAGCTCCAAACAATGTCATTCTATGTCACGGAAGGAGGAACACATACAACACATATGTGAAATCCATAACCACTTGTAATTAATTATACTGCCAAAATGCGTGGACAATAGAAGCTAGGTAAAGTTAGTCAAATAACATTTTTCCCTCTATGGTACAGGTAAGTAGTAGAGTAATGCAGAACCACTTTATATCGTGTATCCTTTAATTCAATTTTTGAAGGTAATGTATTGTCACAGTTTTAAAATCAAAATTAGATAGAAAAGTAAACATTGAGAAGTGTCACCCACCACTGTCCTCTATTCTGTTCCTTCACCTGCTTCCCTGTGGTAATGTCTTTTCTTAGTTTTTTGGGTTGGAAATAAGAATACGTAATTCCTACTGAGACAAAAAGTTGCATGTTCTACATATTCTTCTGTACCTTTTTCCACTTAGCTTCTCCCAGAGTTCTTCCATATGAAAACATAGAGAGCTGTGTCTTCTTTTCATAGCTGCATAGTATATAGCTCTGTGGATGTACCATAGTTTAAACGCTTTGTTCTTTACAGACCATCTTTTGCTTGTATAAACAGTGTCACAGTTAATACTCATGTATATACATCATTTTATATGTGTAGAAATAGCTACAGGAAAATTTACAGAATTCAAATTGCAGAGTCAAAAGATAAGCGCATTCATGATTTAATCGGTACTGTCAAATTGTTCCTTGTAAAGATCGTAGCATTTCCACTTCTGTCACTATGTGTCCCCAAAGCCTCATAATCACTTTTTATTTGAAAAATATTTTGTTTTTTACAGCAAATACCATCCTAATAAAGCATGCTGGCTTGTTAGAATTTATATCCTATGAACCCAAACCAATGATTTAATACATTATTTTGAAGTCAGTGTAATTATTTCTTTATTATTTATTAACGTGGAAAGGAGCCATGGCACAGATATCCACACTGGTGGATAACAGTTGTAATTCAATTCAGCTTTGGAATATATTGTGAATTTTTACCCATTAAGTTTTCTTTCCTAATGGTGTCTGTATTATAAAACATTGTTTAATACATAGTTTTTAGTACAAATTGGCTACTGGTGGAAGACAGAGGCCAAAAATTAGAAAGAGGCCAGTGTAGGCTGAATTTTTTTCTACTTTATCTCTAGGATAGCGATATTTTATTTTGTTTCTTTGAAATATCTATATTATTTAAAATATTTATGATGTGCTTAGATTACTTGTGTAAAAAAGTAGATTCTTACTTGCTGATAAAAAGTCCAACACAAACAAAATATTTTATTATTTACTTTCACTTCTAGAAGTGTTCACTCCGAGAGAAAGAATATTATTTTAAGTAGCACTAATTAATCAATTAACATACATTTTAATGAAATTAGTTCCGACATTAAAAACTGCACCTCACCATCTATCACTTAGACAGTAGAGAAGCCATGTATAAATAATTGAGAAGTTATGGTTGTGCTGGCCTCAGTGCAATCCTCTGGGGGGTCAGCTGCACAGAGGTGTCTGATTCAGTCTTTTTCTCCTCTTGCAGCATCTTCCTCAAAGAGCTGGAGAAGTACGAGCAACTGCCTGAGGATGTGGGACACTGCTTTGTTACCTGGGTAACCAACCTGAAATCCTTCTCCCACTGCCCATACACATGGCACCACTCTTCAGTGCCTGACCTAAGGACTGGAGTCATTGCCAGTCTCACACAAGACCAGGGGCTACTGAGAGGGACCATGAGTAGGTCTGAGAGAAGCCTTGGGAAAAGTTCTTAGACATCAAGATTAAGCTCCATCTTAAGCTGTCTAAGAACTTTCTAAAATTGTGAGGTTGGAAGAGTGGAACAAGACTACCACCCCTGGCAGAGGAAATGTGTCAGCTCAGTCCATTAGCTATTGTTACAGGATATGGATTAGGGAATTAGAACTTTAGGAAGCCACCTAACCATTTAAAAAAAATTTTTTATCTTTAATTTTGTGGATACATGGTAGGTGTATATATTTATGGGGGAGACAAAATATTTTGATACAGGCATGCAGTGTGAAATAAGCACATCATGGAGAATGGGTGGGGTGTCCATCTCCTCAAGCATGTATCCTTTGAGTTCCACCTAACAATTGGTTACATTTTCTTCTTTAATAGGGAAAAACAGATTTTTTGGGTATCCATCCCAATCTGACCCACAAGATGAGTGACTGTTCATCCTCCTTCATGCTGTTATCATGGGCCAAGTAAAGGGGCTGAATGTACCAGATTCTAATTATATAAACTGAAACGTTAGTCTTCATTGGCTCTCTACTCCGCATTATTCTGAACTCAGGCTCATGTACAATATATGAATGCAAACATCTCCAGGGAAGTCCACTTAGGACACTGAGTGCAAACATGGAAATCCTCCCCCAGGGTCAAGCGTTCTACTATTTAATAATTACCTGATAATAACTTCCACCCATAAGGGGCTAATTGCCTTTCAAAGTGTCTTCATGATTCAGAGAGTTTATGTTCTCAACAGCCCTATGTGATAGACAACACTATGTTTATGTTTTAGATTTTAAACATGGGAAAATTTCAGATAAGATAGGAGGTTGACTAGTTCACTGACATGTAATAAATATCACAGCCAGTCCCACAACTCAAGACCTGATTCTCAGATAAGCTTTTTTTCATGAAATCTTAATATTTGCTTCCAAGCACTCTTGTTTCTTCAGAAAGTCTTAGCTACCATCTTATTTTGTTCTAATACATTTTCTACCCCTAAATATATGAGCCAATACAAAGCTCATATTAATGCTGATAAATAATTTATGATCCCTTGCACAGCAAACATAGAGAATGACAAGATTGACCATTAAGTAAAGGGTTTTTTTTTTGCATCTTCTTTCATGAAATTTGTGGATTTCCTTTACAATCAGTCATAAGAATGATTTATCATCATCTCCTAGGTAGTACATAGTTCCAAAAACTGGTTTCAGAAAATTTTTTGATTGGATAAAATATTCATCTTTTGCCAAGAATTATCCCAAGGTGACTTTCTTAAGTCTCATAATCTTAATATATGAGTGTAATGCAGAAATGAAGGGTAGAAGAAGTTGTTTGTTATGTATTGAAAGGCAGTGGTCAAGACCAGGAAGCCTAAAGTCAGATCTCTGCTTAGTTAAGTGACTTTGAATTCCCACAGGTAGCAGAGCCCTGTGGGAATTCAAAGTCACTTAACCAATCTGTGCCACAGTTCTCTCATCTGCAAACTGGGGATGATAACAGAACTCACTGTATAGAGGTCTCATGAGGACCAAATGAGTTAATACATGTAAAGCTCTTAGAACAATGCTAGCATAAATGAAACCTGCTGTAATAAACACATATTTGGGCTGCTGTCTCAGAAGAGGATGCCAACACAAAGTTCCAAAGGCACTGAGATGGGTAGCATTTCACCAAATAAGAAAAGTATTTGGTGGCCAAAATACACATACCTTTCCCAGTAACGCTAACCCAGAGAGTCTTCAGAGTCTTGAATTTTCACCCAGCCGTAAGGTTCTTGGCTTGAAGCAACAATCTAGTTAGGAACCATTGTTTAGCCTCTGCCCCAGGGGGTCACTCTGCTTTCTTTTTCCCCATGATTGCTCTGGGAAGTTGGGGATGGCATAGTCCCTTGCCATGCCCCTCAACCTTTCTCCAATGGAGACATTTAGAGTACAAGCAGATCTACCTCTGAGATAATACTTCATCTTCATTATTTGTTTTTGTATTCAGAGCAAATGCTGTCCTTTTTCAAGATGGGGAGCACAATTGTAGATAATCCAAAAAAGGGTAAAATCTGTAAATAAGTTCTGTCCAACTTCAGAATATATCAGGATATATGAGTTGCTTTTTCTGATTCTTTCCAGCACAAACTATTATTAAAAGGAGCTCAGTTTCAGAAGCTTTCTCCACGTGCTGACAGGAGAAAGACATCCCAATGTCCGTTAGGGGACCATGGGGGCTGGATGAGCATAGAACATTTGCCATAGAAAATCTAGACACTGGTGTCTGAGGGTCTTAACTGTACAGCCCTTGCTGGGTCCTTCAGCATGGTGGACAGAAGGGAACAACTAATGAATGCTTATCTATTATTATCTTTGTTCTTTTTAGGCAGACAAATTTCAGATGTATGTCACCTACTGTAAAAACAAGCCTGATTCCAACCAGCTTATCCTGGAGCATGCGGGCACCTTCTTTGATGTAAGCTGTGTTTTCCATTCTTGAGCAGCTGATGAGCAGGTGGAAATGCTTCTCTGCTTTGGCATAATGGATGGATATTTAGCTATCCTTTTTTCCTAATTTTTCTTTACTGGCCACTGCAAACCTTAAGCATGGAAAAAAAGCAAAAACAGTATATGTCTGTATTTTGTTTTATCTCATCCTATCTTGACCAAAGTGATTTTGTACGAGGCAAATTTGTCTCCATGCCTCCACACCAAACCTAGGAAGTCATAAAGCACATGTTTAGAGGAGGGCCACTATGATGCAGTTGTTGATTAATATATTTCACTTCTGCTTCATATACAGCTCTCACAAATGTAGTGTTTCCGAAAGTGTGATCCTTGGACCTCAGTCCACATCTATTAAATCAGAATCTCTTGCGGGGAGCCCAACAACCTGAGTTTTAAGGAGGCCTCTGGGTAACTGAACTCCACTCAAGTTTGAGAATCACTTCTCTAATGCAATTGATTCAACCTTTTTTGGAAAAAAAAAACTGATATCTGAATCCCATGCCTGAGGTTCTGCTATGATTGGCCTGACTGTGGCCTGAGCATTGGGATATTTTAAAGTTTCTGGTGAGAGTGATGTGCAGCCAGGGCTGAACACCTCTGCTATAATAGAAGCCAGGAGAAGAGTGAGGCTGATGTGCCTTGTCAGATCCTTTGGTTTGGAATTATGACACAATCCTGTTGGCAAATGGTGGGATCTATAAAGCCAAAAGTGACCTATTGGCTTTACAGTAAGCAAAATCAAAGGGGTCCCTGCAGGATTCAAAGGATGAATAAGAGGGAAAGATGAAATTGGGGAAAAAGAAAATTTAGTGAGAGGCAGACTATAGCAGTGATGGCTATTTTGGCAGTCATATCAGAAGTGACAGAAACTAGAAACTCAGCCCTTTTTAAAGGTTATCTGTCTATATGCCTACCTGTTTTCATTTTTTTCATAAATATTTGGATGTCTACTTTATGCAAGATAGTGGGCTAGGCCCCGTGGAGAATATAAAGACATTTAAACATGGTCCTTGTACTCAAGTGTGCAAAAGAAACCTTCCCTGAGCATCTTTCTAGCCTGGCACTGCCTCAACAGAAATGATCCTACAAATGTCTTGTTGCTCAGTAAAGAAATGACACTTGAATGGAAGGAAGCCAGATGAGGAAAAATGCACATGATTTTTTTAATGGAGCATTAATATGGAAATGGCTCTATGTATCCCACACTAGAATACCTGGGGTTAGATTTGGAACCACAGAAGAACCCAAGAAAAGTGCTCCTCTCACCTGATATTATTGGGTATCATATTGGATGCCCTCTGCCACCATTACCTCTGAGTGAGAATCTTTTTCCCTTAGGATGCTTCTGTTGATTATTCATGAACAATATCCAGAAGGGTCTTTTTGAAGTTTTAAATGCATTGTGTCCTGTCTTCCACTTAGCACTTTTCTGACATACATGTCCTGTGCTCTGAGCATGTCTCAAACTCTTCTGCTTCCTGTCTTTGCTCACACCGCTCTCTCTGCCTAGGATAGATTGTGTCCTCTCCACACAACACAAACACACAAACACACACACCCTTCTGTCTCTCTCTTCAAAATTCTTCCTATCCATTAAAGGTCACATGCTGCTTCCTGCATGAATCCTTTCCTTTGTACTTTGTATCTTTGTTATAGCATTTGTAATGATTTGCCTTTTGGCAGGTGAACAATGCACCTTTCTGTTACTCACATCTCCCTCCACCTGTGAGCTCCTTGAGATCTTATGCCTGATTCATATTTGTCACATCTCAGTGCCTGGCACCAGAATGTATTTTCCCTTAGTACTACATACCTCGCATCCCCATTTCTAGCCAATTTCTAGGCTTTGATAAGTCAGATATATCCCCAAATTTCCCACCCTATACCCCGTTTCCAACATAGTGCCTAGTGAGCTTCTACATTAGTTGGAAAGACTGATGGAAGCCACAAAACCAGTCCAGTAGGAGTTCTTAAAGTCTGCCCTGGAAGCGGGGACAGAAGACAGTAAACTCTCCGGATTGCTTTCAAAACTTTCCAAAAGGCATAATCTTTGCAGCTTATTTTCATTCCATCAGAAGAGTTTCCCTAACTTCTACACTTAGGAACCATCTGCTTTAGGCCCTCATTCTATTGCTTTCAAAACTTTCCAAAAGGCATAATCTTTGTGGCTTACTTTCATTCCATCAGAAGAGTTTCCCTAAGTTCTACACTTAGGAACCATTTGCTTTAGGCCCTCATTCTATAAATGAGATAAACCCTTAATAAAGGCAGTCACCTAATATCCATTACTGTAAAGAGAACACAGAGAATTAAAGTCCTAGAAAGGCTTACACATTCACACGATCCAGAATTTTTTTTTTTTTTTTTTTTTTTTTGAGACGGAGTCTCGCTCTGTTGCCCAGACTGGAGTGCAGTGGCGCGATCTCGGCTCACTGCAAGCTCCGCCTCCTGGGTTCACGCCATTCTCCCTCCTCAGCCTCCCGAGTAGCTGGGACTACAGGCACCCACCACCACGCCTGGCTAATTTTTTGTATTTCTAGTAGAGACAGGGTTTCACCGTGTTAGCCAGGATGGTCTCGATCTCCTGACCTCGTGATCTACCCGCCTCGGCCTCCCAAAGTGCTGGGACTACAGGCGTGAGCCACCGCGCCCGGCCGATCCAGAATGTTTGACCCATCACACAGCATGGGTGTGATGTCTAAGCTTGGTTTGACTGATGTAGGCCCCTCCCTCTCTGCTCCACATGCAGCTTTCCTTAAGCTGGGCTTTTCATCAGAGAGGAAAGAGTGCCAAAGGTGCACTGTTGCTTGTGCTTTCTTGCCAAAGCTCCCAGATAAACTCACAAGGTTCAGTTGCCTGAAGAGAGTCAAGCTGCATCTGTTTTGCCCATCATCCTCAAACAAGTCTTGCAAGTACACACCTCTGGGAAAGAGGCAAATGGTGACAAAATTGCTACTTTCTGGGATAGAAATCATTTCTGATAGGCATTGGAATAATTTTTTAAATTATTATTATCTCTCCTCCACCCTTCTTCATAGCCCCATAACAAGTCCTATCTAGTCCATCTTTAAAATATTTCTTTTATTCTTCCCAATGCTTTATTCTCACTAATTCTAGCTTAGGGCATGCCCCTACATTGCATACCTGGACCTACTTTAAAATAACAGCTTTATTGAGAGATGATTTCAGAGATCATACATTTTTCCCATTTAAAGTATGAATTCAGTGTTTTTGTGTGTGCGCTGACAGGTATGTGCAACCATCCCTTCAGTCAATTTTAGGGCACTTTTATCACCTCACAAAGCAACCCTGTATCCTTTAGCCATCACCCCCCAGCTCTCCACCACAAACCCCAACCCACAAGCAACCAATGATCTACTTTATGTCTCTACAGATAGATCTGCCTTGCCTGGACATTTCATAAAATTGAGTCATAATACATGGTCTTTTGTGACTGGTTTCTTTCACTTAGCATAATGTTTTCAGAGTTCATCTGTGTTGTTGCATGCATCAGAACTTCATTTCTTTTTATGTCCAAATAATATTTCATTGTATGAATATTCTACATTTTGTTTTTCCATTTATCAATTCATGGATGTTTGGGTTTTTCATGCATAGATATATATTTTTTATTTCTCTTGAGTATATACCTAGAACTTGAATTGCTGGATCGTGTGGTAACTTCATATCTATACACCTGGGCTTTTGCAATAGCCTCATAACTTGTCTTTCTGTCTCTATTTCTCCAAGATTTACCCCCATGTTGCTGTTAGGTATATATATTACTCTTTCTGAAACATTACTTTCATCATGTGTTTTTTTCTCTTTTTTGTTGTTTGTTTGTTTATTTGTTTGTTTTGAGACAGGGTCTCTCTCTGTCATCCAGGTTGAGTGCAGTGGTGTGATCATAGCTCACTGCAGCCTTGACCTTCTGGGCTCAAGTAATCCTCCCACCTCAGCCTCCCAAGTAGCTGGGACTACAGGCACGTGCCACCATACCCAGCTAATTTTTGTATTTTTTGTAGAGATGGGATCTGGCCATGTTGCCCCGGCTGGTCTTGAACTACTGGATACAAGTGATCCTCCCGCCTCGGCCTCCCAAAGTGCTGGGATTACAGGCGTGAGCCACCATGCCCCGCCTGTTTTTTCTGTTTAAGATCTGTGATGCTTTACCATTGAAAAACTTACCATCATATCCTAACTCTTTTCTAACTCAAACCCATCAATGACCCAACCTTGCATATCTAACTGTATTTTTCACTTCTTATAGAAGGTGGGTGTGCATCCTCTGTACCATTCAGTCATGGTCCTCATCATCATCTAAACACACAATGATTATTTCAGCCGATACAGTTTTGTGTTTGATGTAAGTGAGTGTCATTCCTCCAACCTTTTACTTAACCCACCCCCACTGCCCACCTCACCTCTTAGCCCCAGGTGAGGTTGAGGCCTTATCTCTACTAACCACCCGGCCACTCCCAACCCCAGTAATCTCTCAATTTTTATTGGCTATACCATTTCCTCTATTGTCTTTTGTTGATCTCTAGTTCATGTGCGTTGAGTATTCTCATCTAGACTGTAAGCTTTTTGAGGGGAGGGAGAAAAATATACCTTTCTCTGACCCTTAGAACCCCTAGACTTTGGGGAGTAGAAGATCATTTTGGAGGTAGGATAGAGAGTAGATTAAAAGGAGAGACTAGAAGCACAAACAGCAGTTGGAGGCCACGGCCCTAGCCTGGGCATGAGTGATGAGGGTGATGTCCCTGGAAATGGAAAGGAAAGATTTGTCACCAGGGATAACAGAGGAGAAATGACTAAAATTGACTCCATGGTTTCTAGCTTAGGAGACCTGAAGAATGAAGGAGGTGCTATTTATCACAATGAACATTTATAAGAAATAAAGTGATGACCCTAAGTTGGGATGTGTTAAATTTAAAGAGAAGGATGGTATTAATAAAGGAGATATATCCTTGTGCTATTTTAAGGAGACTGAAGGCAGGGAAACACTCCTCAGGAGCCATCAGAATAGATGTCAGAGCCTCATTCTCTGCCTTCCCTGTACTCTCATCTCCCCTTTTTGGAACTGATTTCCTTTTACTCCTACTTCATCTCTCCTTACCCTCCGCTCTGTTATTTACCTTATTGCTCTCTTTTCTACTGTTCTTTTTCTCCATTTTTGCTCAATTTCTATTTGTTTCACACACTTGCTTCTTTCCCTAATCCTTCTCCCTTTTTACTCTCTCTCCTATTTTCTCTATATGCATCTTGGTCTCTTTTGTTTCTCTTTTTACTCCCCTCTCCCTATGAAAGAACATGTTCTCATACTTGTCTACCTTTTTCTCTTTCTTCCTCTCTTCTGACCCCTGCCTTTCTCCTCTCAGAGTTCACACACATGCACACACCCCTCTGTGTCTAATTGCACATTGTTCTCATCCCTGCAGGAGATACAACAGCGGCATGGTCTGGCCAACTCCATCTCTTCCTACCTAATTAAGCCTGTCCAAAGGATCACCAAATATCAACTGCTCCTGAAGGTACCTCCCCTCCCCTCTACATCCCCCTCCACTGCCTACTGCCTGGGGCAAGGGAGTCCCAGCTTTGGCCCCTAAGGATAGGAATGCTTCCACCTGAAGACCTTTCTTCTACCTAGGGCAGAACTTCAGCCCACACTGGCATCGCTGTCCTATCCCATGGAAATCCAGATGCCTATTTTAAGGCAGAAGGGGGAGAAAAGGGAGCAGGAATAAGTTGTGACTATTTTCTCATCTACCTACCACTGCACAGCTTTTAGCAATTGCCTTCTCAGGCACTGACTGGCTCCTAGAGGCTTTCTTGTCCCTCCTTACAGAAGCAGATTCCTCCTGGTAGCCCCTGCTTTTGATGAAATCAAGAGGCAGAGTCTTGCCAGGCACAGTGGCTCATGCCTATAATCCCAGCACTTTGGGAGGCTGAGATGGGCAGATCATTTGGGGCCAGGAGTTTGAGACCAGCCTGGCCAACATGGCAAAACTCCATCTCTACTAAAAATACAAAAAATTAGCCAGGCATGGTGGTGTGCACCTGTAATCCCAATTACTCGGGAGGCTGAGGCAAGAGAATCACTTGAACCCAGGAGGCGGAGGTTGCAGTGATCCGAGATCGTGTCACTGAACTGCAGCCTGGGTGACAGAGTGAGACACAGTCTCAAAAAAATAAGAATAATAATTAATAAATAAATAAAAGGTCAGAGTCCTAAGGGCAGTGCCAGTTTACATGGGTAGTCGAGGCCAGGGTGGCACCTACCATTGTCTGTGTTTGTCAAGACGATGAGGATTTTGAGGGAAAATAGTCAAAGGGTACATATTAAAACACAAGGGTATTCTTATATCTGTAGGTTCTCGCATGTTAGGGGTTCTTCTGGAGCCAACCAAGAGATTTGGATTTTCCTTCAAAATCTTATCTTTAAAAGTTAAATAACCAAATATGCAAAACACTAAGTAATTTGGGTTCATCCTTGTCATATAAGAATGCATTGATACATTGAAAATAATGTCATTTCCACAGAAAGCCTGGGGAATTGACACAAGTAGTTAAATAACCCCCATCTATATTAATACCTAAAGTTTAGGGGTAGAGTTTTCCCTCATTTGAAATATCCTGCTGGTTGCTCCTTTAATGCAAAGATAAAGGGATAGTAGGGGACATGTTATAAGTACATTGTGTAATTTCAGAGAAAATCTGATGTAATTCAGCTCATGTTTAGAGATGTCTGCAAAAACTTGCATAATCTCATTTCACTGAACCTGAAAACCAGTCTAATTTTAAATCTGCCATTCTAGTCACACTGGAGTGAGTCCACCATTCCCAGCCCATGGAATCTCCCTGGCTTAGCACTATGAGAGGCGTGAGGGCAGCAGTGCAGTGAAGGTGCAGGAGGCTGTGCCCTGGTAGGGTTTTCTGTCCTCTGAGTCAGAGTGGGGCCGTGCCACATCATTTCCCTTCAGCCTCATCCCTGCAATTCTTCTCCTTCCTCATCTCCAAGAAGAGGCTACAGACATCTGCTTCCAGTGCTCCAGCCAACCAACCCTGCAGAAATGGCTTAAAGTGTTACAACTGGACATCACACCCTCGGCCTTTCCTGAGGACTAGTGTGAGAAAAGAGTGTGCAGCCACCCCAGCTGTCCTGACAGAACTGCTTTCCCTTCTTTGTTTTTTGAAATTTCTTATATGAAGACATAATAAATTCTTGTGAGATCTCAGGACAGGGGTGTAGGGAATCCTCTCTCCTGAGAAATGGGTATACGTTCTATCTTTAGATGACAGCTGCATAGGCCATTCTTTACGTGTGGCTATTAGAAAGTTAGCATTGAATTTTGTGGTTGCTTACAGTAGAATCCCTTAGCCCAGATTTTGTGTGTAATTATCTTCTTCTTTCCTATCCCACTTGATGCTTGGCCTTTTAAAATTATTTTTCATGGTCGGGCATGGTGGCTCATGCCTGTAATCCCAGCACTTTGGGAGGCCAAGGCAGATGGATTGCTTGAGGTCAAGAGTTCAAGACCAGCCTGGCCAACATGGCGAAACCCCGTCTCTACAAAAAATTAGCTGGGCATGGTGGTGTGTGCCTGTAATCCCAGCTACTCAGGAGGCTGAGGCATGAGAATTGCTTGAGCCTCGGAGGCAGAGGCTGCAGTGAGCCAATATCATGCCACTGCACTACACCCTGGGCAACAGGGTGAGACTCCGTCTCAAAAAAAATAAATGAATAAAATAAAAAATGAAATTATTTTTCTTGTGCTAACAGACTTAAAAAAATTGATTTTTATGGTTTTGAATGTATGTATCCCACCCAAAGGTTGTTCAGGAATTGGTGGGGTTGTGAATTTAAAAAGGAAAAACAAAAGGAAAGAAAGACAAACCAATGCTGACTCAACTATCCACACTGCCAGTGTCTTAAATCAACTAAGATGCAGTTCTAAAAGAAATATAGCTTTTTACCTCTCCCTTTAACCCTGTAAGGTGTAAGCCCCCTAGGATGAATTATGTGGCATAGACAAGGGAGAGAAGTTGAGGATGGAATAGGCTTGTGTTTTGCTGTGGGCAGTCGAAGGAGTGGGCTCTGGACCTTTGTTCGGGAATTGAGTGTTTTAGGAAGAATTGCCTATAGAGGTAGCTAAGAAGTGGAAAAATAAAGTGGCAGGAATTTGATTGTGAGGAAGTCATCAAATTATTTTTATTTTTTTAAGAAAATAGGCTGGGCACAGTGGCTCACACCTATAATCCCAGCACTTTGGGTGTCCAAGGCAGGTGGATCACTTGAGGTCAGGAGTTTGAGACCAGCCTGACCAATATGGTGAAACTCCGTCTCTACTGAAAATATAAAAATTGCCCAGTCGTGGTGGCGTGCACCTGTAGTCCCAGCTACTTGGGAGGCTGAGACAGGAGAATTGCTTGAACCCAGGAGGCGGAGGTTGCAGTGAGCTGAGATTGCACCACTGCACTCCAGCCTGGGTGATAGAGCGAGACTCTGTCTCAAAAAAAAGAAGAAGATAGTTTTGGTCTTTTTTAAATGTTCTGGTGGCACAGTGCCTGCTGAGTAAGAGAAAAACAGTTTGCTGAGCTTTTACTATAAATAATATGGGATTTATTTTCATAAAGTCAGTTTTATTTCAAATACATGTATATTTAATTGTCAGTATCCTCTGGGTTCATCACTTTAGGTATGGCGTGAAAGTAGAAACTTTACGTCAGAGTGCTCAATATTCTTCATGTAAATCTGCTGTGGCTTTACAAAAGGATCCTAAATTAAATGTGGAGCCTTCTCCTTATCATAAAGTATAGCAAGGATCAGGGAAAATTTATTGGCCCAGCTGGTAGATTGGTAGACTTGCTAAATTGTTTTGGGCAGGGGGGGATTAAACTAATTCATGTTTTCTGTCACAAATTGAAGCATATTTCTTGTTTTTTCTCTTATGTTTTGCCTCAGGATTTTCTTTGATGATATATGAAAATAAGATTGGGAAGGTTAAAATAAGGAAAGGGGTGGGAGAATCTGAGAACTTTAGGTTGGCAGAAGTAAATACCACTTTCTGAACAAGGGTGACGTTATACTGACTGGAGCCAAGGGCAAAGCTGAGCACTGATCACTTCTCCCTCTCAAACATGTGCTCTAGGGGGTGCACTTCTTCTTTGTACACTCAAAGCTCCCTTATTCCTAGGGGAATGTATCCAAGGATTGGATTTTTCGATCAAACCCTCACTAATTAGATATCTTACCAAGTATAAAGCTTGACTAAAAATTTCAAGGATACAAGTAATTCCAAGACAGAGGTGACACAGGAAAGGGCCAGGACCACCAGTGCAGCTCCAAGCCCTTTCTTGCAGCCAGGATGTGCTGCGGCCAGGTTGATCTACAAGGTCTGTAAATTATGTATGTCACATTGTATCACTTGCCCTGAAGAGAGCCAATTGGTCATGAAAGATATTCCCTTTTTACTTAGATAGTTGCATAGCTTATGTGACACCTTCCAGAGAGCTATGCCTCTAAAGCCACAGATTCTAGGATTGTTTACCATAAGAAGCCCTAGACAGACCAGATTTATCCTATTAAAAGCATTTCCTAGATAAGTCCTCTCTTGCTAGCAAGTACCATTAGGTTATTTGTCAAGAGGTCTGTCATTAACGTGTTTACAAGATTTGATCTGGTGAACTTCTTTATTTCTGGGAAAGGCACCTCCACTCAACATGCATCCCCTGCCCCCTCGAGGAGAGAGTATGGTTTGCAGATCTGTTGCTTAACCATTCCCTTCTCAGTGTCAAAGGGAGCAAGATACAGTGACCCTGATAGGAAAAATGAAAAGCCAACATTCTTCTGGTTTGGGCAAAAATCATTCCAAGTGGTCTTATGATTCTCAAGATAGTTGGAAATGATCTTTCCTCCACCAACCAGATACTATATATCTTTTATGGGGATGGTGATGACTGAGTCTCCAATGAGGAAATACAAAAGAAAGGACACACTCCCCAGCTCCCCAGGAGGTAAAAGAAAGAGGGTATTGCCCCTGGAAGCCTCAATGGGGGACAGAATATAGGAGAGACAGGGTTGATGTGGTGGATAAAGTGCCAGACTTGGATTCAGGAGACCTGGATTCAGGCCCCTGCATAGCCTCCACTGAGTTATATAACCTGAGGAAAATCACTTCATCTCTCTTAATCGCACTTACCTCATCTGACAATGAAATAGCCTAGAAGCCCATCTATTGGCCCCAGATTAGGAACTCCTGATCCATATGATCTAAAAATATTTTATTACTCTGGGATGTCATAAGCCTATTAAGTCTCCAACCTCAAGTTGTTCCCAGTGGGATGGAAGTCAGCATTCAGGCTGTAGAGGCTTGTAAATAAAAGTGGTGTCAGCAGTAAGCATGCAGGGATATTTGGGTACTGCATAGCACACTCTTTATCTTCCCTTTATCCTCCTCATTCTTCTCTTTATTCTCTTTATTGGATTATACAATACTGCACCTCTGTTCACGTGCTTTGCCAGGGTAGTCCCTTCTCTAAGAGGGCAGTCCAGTGACAGAGAATGCCTCAGTTGCTGCCTTACAGGTCAAGCCATTTGGGAGTTGGGTTGGATTGAGTTAGTTTGGGCTAGATTGGGCTGAGAATGCTCAGTGTGGGAGAAAAATAGTGCTTGAATTCTTAGAGATAACCCCTTTTACCCCACCTCACTTTCTTTATAGCTCAGAGGGAACCATTACAGAGAGCGAAGCTGGTCTATAATTTCCTTGCTGGGTTAGGTGGTGGGAGGAAGCTGGGGGAGATGGCCCTAATTATGTCCGGACTTTTTTTTCCCCAGGAACTTTTAACTTGCTGTGAAGAAGGGAAAGGGGAGCTCAAGGATGGCCTGGAGGTGATGCTCAGTGTCCCAAAGAAAGCCAATGATGCCATGCATGTCAGCATGCTGGAAGGTAGCTGTCCTCCCAGCACTGGGGAAGCCTCCTCTCTTCCTTGACACGGGGGAGCTTGTATCATGGGAGGGAAGTGGCATGAAGTTAGACAAGGTGCAAGGCTGGAAGAGAGAAGAAATGACAAGTAGTTACATAGGCCCTTGTCATGTGAGAGGGGCTCCACAAGGACCAATTTGGCTAGCACCCTGCTTCTAGGAAGGACCAGGCCTAAGCCACTGGAGGTTATGTGGACATGTTGCTGCCCATGAGACAGTCCAGGACAGGCCATCACCCTCACTGTTGATGTGCTAGAGCTTCCAACCTACAGCAGTCTTGTTAGTCTGCATAGCATCTGCATTACATTGCCTTGGTCATCACAATGAATAGAAAGCCTGATCACATAAACACACACAGACACACATACACACAAAACATACCATCTTCAGCCTTATGCTCTTTTTTTGTTATTATGGTAAAATATACATAATATGTATAACATAAATTTACCATTTTAACCATTTTTGAATGTACAGTTCGGTGGCATTAAATACATTCACATTCTTGTGCAACCAGCATTTTGTCCTCTAGAAGGTTAGTAAGTCCAGCCAAACAACTCTGATAAGACTTCAGTCAGATGAAGCTATCTTCTTGGGACCAGAAACCTGTAGAGTAAGATTCCAATAAAGTGGTCTTAACACTGCAGAATGAGTGGGCAGAGCAGCCATACTGGGGTGGAATTTGTTAGATGAGTTAAGATTTAACATTTTTTTGGGAGGCCAAGGTGGGTGGATCACCTGAGGTCAGGAGTTCCAGACCAGCCTGGCCAACATGGCGAAACCCCGTCTCTACTAAAAATACAAAAATTAGCCAGGGGTGGTGGTGCATGCCTGTAATCCCAGCTACTCGGGAGGCTGAGGTGTGAGAATCGCTTGAACCCAGGAGGCAGAGGTTGCCGTGAGCTGAGATCGCACCACTGCACTCCAGCCTGGGCGATAGAGCAAGACTCCATCTCAAAAAACAAAAACAAACAAACAAAAAGACTTAACATTTTTAATGGGTGCTAAAGGAAATGTGTATAGTCTGTTGCAAATATGTAAACACGTGGGCTGTTTTTTCTCTTCTGGACTCCATCCTACTCCGCCAATACCACCAACACCACCTTGGGAGACTTGATACGGTCTCCATACTTCCCAGACCATCCTTAGCACCAGAAGCCTCAATTCTTAGAGCAAAGGAGCCCTGGCTATTTTCCCTAGGCTGAGCAGGAACCATCTCAATGTATTCCTGTTGACATTTTTCTCCACTCCTTTCCTCTCTGTTTGTACCTTCCCCTCCACCCCACCCTGGAAGTACCTGCAAGTACCCAGCTCCTCCAGTCTGTCCCTGACCTATGCTCTGGATCCAGCTACTCCATGCATGGTCTGTTTACCAGCAGCAGCAACAGCACCTGGGAGCTTGTCAGAAGTGCACATTCATGGACTCACCCCACACCTACTAAATCAGAATATCTGGGGAGGTTGGAGGGTGGGCAGTAATCTGTGTTTTCACAAGCTCTCCAGGTGATCCTTATGCACAGTAAAGTTTGAGAGCATCTCTTAAAAACTTCAAGTGGTATAAATATAAACTGTTGAAGGCTTGTGCAAAGTAATCAAAGGGAGGAATTCTAGAAATGGAATATAAGAATTAAGGTAGGTCAGGCACAGTGGCTCATGCCTATAATCCTACACTTTGGGAGGCCAAGGTGGGAGGATCACTTGAGCTCAAGACCAGCCTGGGCAACATAGGGAGACCTTGTCTCTACAGAAAATACAAAAATTACCTGGGCATGGTGGCATGTACCTATGACCCAGCTACTTGGGAAGCTAAGCTGGGAGGATCACTTGAACCTGGGAGTTCAAGGCTGCAGTGACCCACGATCATGCCACTGCAAAAAAAATAAAAAATAATAATAAGAAGAATTAAGGTAATGAATGACACATAAAGAGGAGCTGAAGACACTCAGTCAGGCAGTGTTTGTCCTCAACCCCACTCATAGCTACAAGTCAGGAACAGTAGAAAGTTGTGGAGGACAAAGGAGCTATGGGATTTGCCCTTGCAGGAGGCCAACTGTGGGTGTGTGAAGGTGTGAGGTTGCATAGGACCTTTGCAGGAGATTCCACTAATATTGGTTATGTATATAAAAGACATGGTGCAGGAAGGGGGCAGGAGAGATCTAATTGCAATTCTCAGAGATGTCTATGGAAGTGTTCAGCAGTCTCTGGAGTTAGCAGAGAGAAAAAAACCCTTCAGTAACTGAAGACTAACAATAAGAGAGGCCTTTCTCCAAGAGGGGGGTGGAACATGGCCCCCTGACTGTGGCAGTAGAGAAACTCCACAGGGTGGAAATGGATGTTTTTCAGGGTTCGACGAGAACCTGGATGTGCAGGGGGAGTTGATTCTCCAGGATGCCTTTCAAGTGTGGGACCCGAAGTCGCTGATCCGGAAGGGGCGGGAGCGGCACTTGTTCCTCTTTGAGATCTCCTTGGTTTTTAGCAAGGAGATCAAAGATTCTTCAGGACACACGAAATATGTTTACAAGAACAAGCTACTGGTAGGTGGGGCAGGTGGGGTAAGACAAGACTCCCTGCTTTCATAGAACCCATGGGCAGGAAGGGATCTGGACACACTCATCTCATCTCCTCCCCGGCCTCCACACCAAAACCATCCTGGACAAATGAAAATGTCTCCTATTTGGAAAGCACCCCACTCACCTCCCACGTCTGCATTGTAGAGTTCACAGTTCTTCTTTCTGTTTGCTTTTAGCACCTCCCTCTTCACCTTCCCTCCCTGGTACCTGCTAATCAGGCACGTGCCTGTAGGTCCTTTCATCCTGGGTAGATGAACAGAATATCCAATCTGTTAAAGTTTGATTGACAGAAGCCCCTCCCTCGGTCCTCTCCTCTTTGTTGCCTTTCCCTTCCCACCCCAGCCCTAAGTTTCCCCACTGCCCTCCCCTTCCCCGCCTCTCATAGGCATTTCCTGTCTACAGACCTCAGAGCTGGGTGTGACCGAGCACGTGGAGGGCGATCCCTGCAAATTCGCCTTGTGGTCTGGGCGCACCCCATCCTCAGACAATAAAACAGTGCTGAAAGTAAGTACTGCTCTCTGCTAGGCACAAACTAGGGTTGGGGATAATAGAAGTGGGGGTGGGCAAGTGACACCTCAAAGCTAAGGCCCAGAGACTCTACTGAGCCATGGGCCTCTTTTGGGAATGGCAGCATCACGTGGGCATTGAGAAGCAAATTCTATCATGAAAGTAGACCCAGAATCTCAAAGACGCATGGTCTCCTCAAGTGCATGCACATGTGTGACCAAGAGGGAAGAAAGCAGGGAGTGGCTTGTGGGACCAGCTCAGCAAGGCCCGCTTAAACTGTGCTCTGTCCGTATCTCTTCCTTCAAGTGGCAAGAACAATTGACGCTTTGACAAAAGACACCTTGATTTGCTCCACATTCATTTGACATTTTTTCCTAAATAACTTCCGTGTAAAAGGTATAGTGCCTAGTGTGGTGGGGGATAACTATGTATAAGATATGGACCTTATTCCCTGGGAACCTACATTCTTGAACCCCTACTAAATCACATTAGCATGGGGACCATGCTGATGGAGAGAAATGTCAAGAGGGAGCCTTTCACCAGAAGACGGCCTTGAGGAGTCATTGCAGCTCTCTGGGGCACAGCAGTGATGTTAGCCTGTCTGAGCAGCGATAATGCAGATGATGAAGTTCCCAGCAGTCATTTGCTTGTCAGGAAAGTGCCCATCACCAAGGAAAAAATGGTCCAACCCCGACAAAAGCTTCACATGTATTCACTCTGAACTGCCAGCATAGCTGCTACCTGTTGTGAGGCAGAATTACCAGAAAAAAAATTCTACCAAGACAAATGGGATCATCATAAAATGATAGCAGTGCCTTTAGTTAACAGAGCTTGCCACAAACCCAGGACTGATTTCTAGTCAGTACAAGTCTGTGGAGCCATGCTAGGTGAACATCCTGACATATATCCATACTGATTGGGAAGTAGATGCTGCCCCTCCCAGTGCCCACCAGACCTCCCCAGGATCTAGCAACCCAGGTGTTAATCCCTGTCCCAGGGGGAACTTCCAGATACTGTTCCACCTCCAGGGCAGATATCAGGATTGGTCAGTGCCTTATGAGTTATGAAATACTTTGACAGTTACTCCCGTACAAGTAATTCTGCATTGAATCTTGAGGTCGGAGCACTGTTCTGGGAGTTGGAGAAGCCTGTTTCTGGTATTGAAGAGTCATAAGTATGAAATGAGAAATAAACTCCCCAGACATTTGGAATCCTTGAAAATAACAGATGAAGACTGCAGGAGGGTTGAGAACTGTTTTTGGTAAGGTGATGGGAGTTGGGGTTCTCAGTCTTTCTCCCTGTGGCACTCTAGGCCTCCAACATTGAAACCAAGCAGGAGTGGATCAAGAACATTCGAGAAGTGATTCAAGAAAGGATCATTCACCTGAAAGGAGCTTTAAAGGAGCCACTTCAGCTCCCCAAAACACCAGCCAAACAGAGGAACAATAGTAAGAGGTAACCAGCACCTCTCCCTCCAGCACTGCCTGCCTCACAGGCTTCCGGGTGCGGGAATGGGATGAATCTTTGCTTCTGAAGGGGGATGTGCCCAGCAGGTGGCACTCTCCAGGAAGGCCTGTGAGTTCTACCTAGGATGAGTCATCTGATCTTTAAGCATCTCACTAGTGTCAAATTCAGCAGGGCTTCATTGAGCACCTCTTATATGATAAACACTCTGCTAGGTTCTACAAGATAAAAGGAAGTGTAAGATGAGTCGATTCCCTTAAGAGCCATCTAATAGTCATGTCTGACACATGAAATAGACCAGAAGAACCACGTATAGGGATCATAAATTCTATAAGAATTCAAAGAAAGGGGACTTTAGATGAGTCCTAGAGTGGAGGAACTCTCTGGACTGGTTGGATAGTCAAAGGGCTTTGTGTACTGTAATGTGTGGAGTGGTGGTTTCATTGCAGGTCTTACTGCAACCCCCACAGAGACCTCACCTTCATTCACCTATGATAAGCAACGTCATTGGGCAGAAGAGGACTTATATCTTTCTGGATGCTTCTGAATCCCAGTTTCCTCTAAACCCATGGATGACTTCTTAAGTATTTCTTTCCCAAGTCTCCATGTGACACCTACACTTACAATGACTCTTTTGGGGGACAGTTCCAAAGAAAGCATACAAAAACTTCACGTACATTTTGAAGAAAAAAAAATGGGGTTCTAGCAGAGATGGCCATTGGTGATAACAGGTTCTTCCCTCCTCCCCTGTACCTGAATGGAATAAATCTGGAGGATTTAGTTGACCCTTAGGCACCAACCAGGACAAGCAGGGTAGGGAGCCATTTCAGGGCCTATGAAGCCGCAGCAGCATTGGTCCTGAGTGAGGTGGTAGCCAAAAGAAGGGTGTGACTATGGTGGAGAAACCTCCATGGGGCGGAAGCCCCAAGACCTGCATGACCAGGATAAGTTCACCTCCTCAGTGCTGCATGGACAAATTATAACTGCTCTGGTGAAGGGGTCATTTTGATGCCAGTTATCTATGTCCAGAGTCCAGGTAAGGAGGGGGTGGACTAAAGTCTAGCAGTGGAGACAGGCCATGCCTCAGGGAATCCCTACTTTAATAAATAAATTAGAAAGGAAACAATTACAAAGAAATGATGGTCTAGGATCATAGTGAAAGAGGATACTCAGGTGAGGCTGACTAGGCTTATTTACCCTGACATAGCCCCTTTTTCCTATAGTAGGAGAGTTTGAGCATTTCCAGAACATGGGAAAGGCATATCTTGGAAATGCCCCCACCTTTTCTCTGCTCCCACCTTTTCTCTTGTCCTACAATGGGTGGGTGAGAAACCTTGGCATACTCTGCAGAGAATAACCAAGCAGTCTTTAATTCCGTTATCTTGGATTCCTGGATATGGGGACAGTTTATAGAGGAGTTCATTGGTTGGGGAATACTACCCACAGTCCTAGGTGGCCTCCCCACATCCCCCCAGAAGTGGCTTCACCTGGAGTGGACCAGAAGGGCCCACCATGGGCCAGAATAGCGGGAAGCAGAAAGTACAGCCAGCTCTCAACTGTCTACACATGGTGGGGAGCGCTGGCCCAGATAATCCAAAACAACAGATGATCTAAAAGTCCTTTATTTTTGGTTTTGAAATGCGTCACATAAAGTCTTTTTACAGCAGATTTTCCTTCCTATGAATGTGTGGCTTATGTTATTAAAATAAATTGGCATTTCCCAAGCCCACAAATGATGGTGAGAGAGCAGTTGACTTAGAAATGTTCTGGATGGGAGAAAATACTTTTTATGATGAATAGACATTGTGTGTATACATGTGCACATGCATGGGTACTTGCATACACACACACATCCACATACATTCACACATACACCAGAGTGCAATCATTTAGACCCTTTGAGGTGAATTCGTTATTTGTGGCACTTTGTTCATGTGGTAGGATTCTCAGGCTTTCAGTTTCCCTGTCCCCTGATGCCATTACTTCTCCACAAGCAGCATCAGGGTATCTTTTATAAAAGCCCCCTGGGGAAAAGCTGTCATTTCCTGTGCTAATTCACCCAACTCCAACTCCACATCTCCCCCAGCTTTTCCTGGCACAGACCTTGCAGCCTTCATCAGTTTCCAGACATGCAATCCCTTTTGGCCATGGCTGTGGGCTTGGTACAGGATGGGGGCACAGTTCTACAGCTGGAGAGCTGAAAGAACATGGGGACAGCTGTGTGGTCCGGGGCCCAGGAAGGGGTCTAAATGCCAGGAGTGCACTCAGGAGATGGCCTTAGCTGACACACAGAAGCACAGCTGGCTCCAAAGCTGCTGTGGAACCTGTGACTGTTCACCAATCTTTGAGAAAATGCCTTGGCCTTCTGTATCGATAAGAAATCATTATAAACATGCATGAGATCCTCAAAACCCAGCCAGATGAAGGCAATAAATTCCTTCTCCACACCCAGGAGTTGAAGGTCTAATATCAGGAATTTCCCAAAGTTAATATCCCCTGGAGACAATATTCCACACAACCTGTTTTCTTGAACAGAAGAAACTCAAGTTTAAAAGAAATCTTGGCCGGGTGCAGTGGCTCACACCTGTAATCTCAGTACTTTGGGATGCCAAGGCGGGCAGATCACCTGAGGTCAGGAGTTTTGAGACCATCCTGGCCAACATGGTGAAACCACGTCTCCACAAAAAAATACAAAAATTAGCTGGGCATGATGGCAGGCACGTGGAAACCCAGCTACTTGGGAGGCTGAGGCAGGAGGATCACTTGAGGTGAAGGTTGCAGTGAGCCAAGATCATGCCAGTGCATTCCAGCCTGGGTGACAGAATAAGACTCCATCTTAAAAAAAAAAAAAAAAAAAAAAGAAGAAGAAATCTTGTCACTTCTGTTTTCTTTATAGGCCAGCTGTAAATGAACCCTCATCTTAATTACAGCATGTACAAAAACTTGAATACCCTGAATTTGGGATTATTAAAATGACCTAATCACCTGGATAGAAGCCTAGGCTCTAAGTAGGATATATATCTTCCTACTGCCTCTTACAGACCCGTTCCCAAGTGTGTGTATGTGTATGTATGTATATATATATATATATATATATATATATATATATATATATATATATACACACACATATATACATACATACACCCCCTCTGCAGCATGGGCTGGAGGAGTTTTGGGGAAGGGGGTCATTTTGCATTTAGTTATCAACATAGTGATTATGTGTTTACTAAGTGCAAGAAGTGACATCACTGAAAATCACATAGGGCCACTCTCTTTAGCAGGATAATTTTAGACAAATCCCTGCTAGAAAGTGCTGAGGCGCTGCTCTGCCCACCCAACCGGAAATCCTTGTGTGCTCTAAACCCACAGTGGTTCCCCCCACCCCCACCCCTGTTTTTTTTCTCTTCTTCCTGCAGGGATGGAGTGGAGGATATTGACAGCCAGGGGGATGGGAGCAGCCAACCAGACACCATCTCCATTGCTTCTAGGACCTCTCAGAACACAGTGGACAGTGACAAGGTAGGACAGAGTCCTAACCTTCCTTCCCCTGAGACTTCTTGATGGCTCAACCACCCCTGGAGAGGTACCCCTAGAGAATTTCTCTCACTATGGATCCTACCTTCAGGAGCCAGTTGTCTCTTTGTGCCAGCCAAGGAGGAAAGAACAGGGCTGGAGGAGGCATGTCCCAGCACGAGATCTGGTCTGAGGGGATGGAAGACTGCGGTGGTTCAGGCTGACCTCTCACACTGGGAGAGTTTAACAGAAGTGGGAAGGCTGAGCAGTGAGGGAGTCTAGGTTTCTTCTCTTTCTGAGATGCCCCACCTGGGCTTCTTGGGCTGCTGTGCCTTCTGGGGGGATGGATCTCAGTGAGGCTGAGTTGGAATAGTGTCCTGAGACCTTAGTGGCTGTGATTGGCTCAAATTTACAGTGATTTGAGAAGAGCTCATCTCAAAGTTAGACCAAGATTAAAGGTTTGGGAAATGGCCACAGAGATGCTGTTTGGTAGCAGCCTGTTATCCAAAGGGACTCTAGTGGAAATGATGCTTTCCTCTGGCCAGATTATTGGGGCTCAGTTGCTGAGAGACAGGAGGACCAGGAAGTGGTATACGAAGGGTGTAGTTGTTGTGTGAGAAAGCCTGGCCACTTGCTTTCTAACATTTTGGAGCAAGTAAGCAAAAGTTAGTAGCTCTGATGGGAAAGCAAAAGAAAAGAAACTGTAGCAAAGGCTCTGTGTATCTGCCCCAGCTAGGTGAGGAATGCAACCGCCGGAATTTGTAGCAGGGGGAGGAAAGGGTCCATGTCTGAGCCTACTCTCATTTGCTTACTCTAGAATCCAAAGAGTATGAGATGATCTTTTGTTGCCTCTTAGTGATCTTATTAATGAAGTTCTGGGTTTCCAAAGACTATTTGTCCCTAGTTTATCCAGACCTAGTATTTTGGCCTGCTCCTTCAGGCTCAGACAGCAGGCTGTGTCATTGCTTCATCTTAGTTTTCTAAGTTATAGGTATTTCTTTTAAAGATGATCTGCATTCATTAGGATTTTTCCTATTTTTTCTTGCTGGGAGAAAAAAAACCATTGAGACCTTAGTGTGGGGACTGTGCCCCGAACCTGCTGAAATTATGGTGCCAAATCACCCTAATCATGCTTTAGACTAGTGCTCAAGGTCATTCAAGGTAATTCTGACAACTGCCCTCAAGTTTTTAAGCCATTTTCTACTGACTATCAGAGTGGATGGAAAATTAGGTTTTTTTCCACTTGTGAAAACATACAATGAAAAACCATTTCTGTAATTTCCTGTCTCCTCTGACCTGTTGTCTAGAAATATAACCTAGTGTTCCTAGTGTATAAAAAGTGTTCCTCTTTAAACAGTCAGTGGGTGGTAAGTCAAGTGCAGTGTTTCCCATGTTGAGACATAGATTATTAGTGTCATGGTCCAGGGAATTCATCCCTTCCAGCTGCTAATCCATCTTCCCAGCAGCTCTGACTTTGACACAGACCCCTATGCTAGAGCCATTTGTTTTAGGAAGACCTCAGCTCCAGCTATTCCTTGTCTTTCTGGCAAGGTATGTGGGGCTGGACTAGAAGACCTTTGACGGCAGCCATTTTACTATTAATGAGGGGTCCTAGTACTTAGACTTTATTCTACAAGTAAGGAAGCAGGCTCAGAGAAACTAAGTGAGTCACCCAAGACAATTCTAGTAGTTAGTGGGAAGGCAGGAACTAGAACACAGATCTCCTGATTTTTCGTGTTTTCCCCCACTCTGAAAGTCAAAGCGTTGAATTCCTGATACTAGGATGAACTCAGCTGGTCAGTTTTTCTGCATATTTCACAGAAACAGTGCTCACATATTCATGTAGAAGCACCCATCATGTGCCAAGCTCTGTGCTGGATGCTGTAGAGAGATGTGGACTATTTGTTGAGTGTGAATCTCTACTTATGTAGTTTTTTGTTTCATGTCTGTCTCAATAGCCAGGTCATTGAGCCCCGATGAAGGCAAGAGCTGTGTCTGTCTGTTTCATTGCCGTACTCCTGACATGCAGCACATAGAGGCTCAGGAGATACTTGTGGAATAAATAAATAGAGGGGGCAAAATGGCTGGTCTCAGGAAACTCCAGGATTAAGAGGCAGCTAAAACCAGTGGTCTGAAAGCAGACAGATATATGAACATTGTATTTTTAAATATGCTAAAGAAAGATCAAATCCCAACTACCTTCTCTGGCCTTAGGAGACATGAGCAGGTCAGGAGATTCTATGTTATGTGTGTACACAAAACCTAGAAAATTCCTTAGACATAGTCACACTTTCAAAATAAGGGGAAGATCAGTCTAGTACTATGCACTGTAATTTAAATGTTCTTACTCTTCTAACACAAAACAGTGATAACAGGGCAGCCATGTGTCCTCCGTGACTGCACTTTTCTTCTTCTGTTAAATCACTCATTGGTATGTTTGAACTTGTAGACGTTATCAGCAGTGTCAGATTTTCCCCTGACTATACTAGATGGCCAGGGAACGCTGGTTTCTAAGTGGTCAGATGAACAGTCTCTGAAAAAAAGGAAAATAATAAAGTGGACTGATTCAGGTAAACTGACTCATATTCAACAGAAGGGCAAACAAGGGTGCTGTGGGAGGGGAAGGGGTGGAGACAGCTCACCCAATTCAGACTCATCTAACAGTAGGCTTCTAGAAAAATGCCCCAGTCTTCCTCTTACAATCCAGAGGAATGACAGTAATAGTTTCCCTGTCTGGCTGAGTAGATGAGGAAAGCATAACCATTAAAGAGCCATGACACACCAACTTGGGGAGCTGTGGCGGCTCCAGGATCTCCTCCAACCACTCCATGTGTGTTACGTATGCTGTGGTGTGGTGGAAGGAGTTCGATACACCTAGGTTCAAATCCCAGCTCTGACACTCTGTGTCACATTGCATAGGTTACTGCACCTTCGTTTTTCTGTAAAGCAAAGATAATAATACCTATCTCACTAAGTCATTGGTAAGATTACATAAAATATTTGCTTGATAACCATTAGACATTCAGTAAAGGTTAATTCCCACTCTTACTAGAGGGGAAGCAAAGGTTTAGATACTATGAATAAGACTGCACAATTATTTGGCAGACTGTGAGGGTCTTTGAAAATGCTTGAGCTAGTTCTGCCCTGTGGTTTTATTGTTTATTAACTGTCAGCAGGTTCTTCTCTGTACTAGACCTAAAGTGATGTAGCTTCAACTCACCTGTCTATAAAAAGAACTTTACTCTCTTTTCCATCTGCTAGCCCTTAGAATCTAAGGTTTGGATATTTGCTGTTAGCATTGGCTCATGGGTTATTTTATTATTTAATTAGTTATAGTCTATTACCGTCACGTATTAATTTTAATGCTCAAATTGTACCACGTTTTACCAGTGGCAGCCCTTAAGCCTTTAAGTGTTGAAAGATGCTTGTCACATCTTTTCTCCAAATCATCTCTGATTAGAAGTCCTCAGTTTCTGTGTCTGTTCCTTATATTTATATATTTTTCACATCCAGGTTGCCTTCATCTGGATTTACTCTAGTGTGTAATTTCTACATAAAATGGGTCCTATAAATACATCTAAATACAAATACATCTAAATATAAATACATCTAAAAGGTACATAATACTGCAGAAGTATTCTAACTAATGTAAACATGGCTCCTTGTTCCAGGACTAGCTGCTGTGTGCGGATCCTCCTTAAGGTATGCCATGTTTAGCATATGTGTCCAGTGCTGGCTCAGAAAATCTCCATGCCCTTTTTTATGGACTGCCCTTATTCAGGCAGGTGACTTAGTAACCTGAGTGTAGGACTACTTTATGTCTATTAGATTTTCTCTTATTTAGTTCCATCTCAGTGTTCTAGCATGTATTGAATACAAATTATCTTGTCCAGTGTGTTAGCCATATCGCTCTGCAATATTGGATAAATGCATCTTCTGCAGCTTCATCCAAATTCTTGCTAAAAAGACAAGATTGGGAGCAGAAGACCAATGCCCAACACCCCTCCTCATTTCTCACATAGGGTCTGTAACTTGGAAACCTCCTTGTCTGACTCTTCTTTAACATCTCCAGGGAAAGAAATGCAACCACTTTTCTCTATAGCAGAGAAGCTGAGCTGTTTTCTTAAGCTGTAAATCCTCTCTTGATGAGAAAACAGTCTAATATTCTTAATCCTACATTAAACACTGACAACACAATATGGGTGCCTCAGTAAATGGCATTAGTAGCTTTTCCAGGGTTGCTTTTGTTCAATACTTAAATGGATCTGTATAGCTTCTACCTTACACCTGTCTAATGCAAAAGTGGTAGTTCCCCAAGGGGCAAACAGGTGTGCTCACTTTGTTCCATGGTGGTCTGAGCCCACCTTCCCTATTCTGTCCAGGAGTAAGTTCATGGTTTTCTGAAAAGGTCATTCCACTGTAAATAGTCTTTTGACTATATGTGCATTACTAAATGGCGGGGCTTTGCAGTCACACTTTAGAAGAAATCTACAATTATAGAATTCTAGCCAAGCAGGGCTGAGTAATGAGGTGACAGCCAAATATCTTCTTGTTTAACCTGATGGATATCTGCTGAATCCAGCTAATGGTACAAAAGTAGCCATCTGCACTGTAATAGTTCCAGTGCATGTATTTGCCATTTAGCCCAGGCATGCTGGAAACATAAAATAAATGCTTATTGAATGGAACATTACAAACCTATCCTAGTTGGGATACTCTCCATCTGAAAATCACTATAAATTTCCAGACATGTCCGGGTTGGCTGGAGAGAGGGAGATTGAAGTGAAATTGACTTGCTGGTACTCTTCTCTGAAAAAATTATAAGGGAAGGAACACTGCTGAAACATTTCAGGCTGGTGTGTGGTTTGAAGAGGAACTTCAGTAACAAGCTAATGTGAGCTGAGGTGAAATGTGGGCTGATAATGGTGATATGCCAAAGAAGAACAGGGAAATACCTGGAGAACCCCTGAGATTTTCGGATATAACTCAATGGTTTTTAAACCCTGAATTATCACATCAATGTAGTGGGTCATGACCAAGATTTTGTTTTACCAATTGGGAAGGAAGGCTTGGGTAGGAGATGGTAAGGGTCCAACTAAGGGGAAATTCAAAGGATTCCTGCAGTGTCACTGCTGCTTTATAATAAGCCGTAGCATGACGCCAGTTAACAAGAGGCAGGGCAGCCTGGCTGCAGGAGCCTTCTGAGAACAGACCTCCTGTAGAGCCTTACCTGGTTCATCAGAACTGACAATTTCATCACCTGCACACTGGGAGGCCACTAGATGCAAGGGCAGTAGCCAGAGAGAGGAACCACTCCCTGCACCAGGGGACGCCTAGCCCCTGTGTTGGCATATTCCCACCCACTTCGTTCATGAACTGTGCAGAGGCCCTACCTACTCTACAGCAGAAGCTGTTCTCCATGCTAGGAGTACAGCAGTAAATGAGAAGAGGTCCTGCCATCTTCCAGCTTACATTCTGGTACATAGAAAACCAGAAGGAGAAAGGATGGCCATTTCTAGTCTTCTGTAAATTGCGTCAGAGATAAAAGACTGCTTGGTTTTTCTTCTGAGAAAAAGTGGGCTAATGCTGCAACTGAAAGGACTTGAATTAGATGTAAGACATTATTTTCCCTGTAGGGATTAGTGCTTATGGAGGACAGATGACTGAGAGAAAAATTGAAAGTCTTTACTTAAATGGGCTCACAAATAGGAAAAAAGCAAAACAAAACAAAAACAGAATAGGGATGGAGTTAGGACAACTCAAAGGTCAAAGGAGAGCACCCTAGGTCCCATCCCCTAGAAGGAGTCTCCGACTGAGATTCCCATGCCTGTGATTTGAGGATGTGCTCCTACGGGGGGAAAGAGGGAAGGGAAGCAGGGTCCAGTGGGGAAGGAGTGAAGGCTGGTCCCTTCCAGAGCTCTGCAGTAGGAATTGCATGGAGTTTGCCCTGCCTTGAGGCAAGGGGGCCAGCCGTTTGTGTCGGTTGTGAGCTGTGAGCAGCCAACAGGCACAAGAGCTGGGACATGGGTGCCCTGGCAAGAAAGGGGATCTGGGTGGGCTGCCAGTAGTGTCTCCTGCAGGGAGGAAATGTGATGTAAAAGAAAGGGGATGGGTTTTCAAATCAGGTATGGATTCAATCCCCAACTAGGTACCAGCTGCATGACCTGAGTGGTCCTTTAATCACTTCATACCTCCATCTCCTCATCTGTGCAATGAAGGCAGTGATTTCTACTTCCTGGGATTTTGAAGGACTAGCTGAGATTCTATATGAAAGAGCACAGAAGACCTGGGGTAGGTCACTGCCCAGGGGACTGTGGGGCACTCATGTGCAAGAAAACAGGCAGCAACATGCCCCCTAGAGTTTCAAGGGGCCACAGACCACTGTGTTTTGCCACTGAAGAGAAAACCAAACATCTGGAAATGTGGAGACTTGGCAGCATTAGGATTGATAAAAATCTTAGCACTTCACATGGTAATATTTTTCACTTGACACATTCTTGAAAACCATCACGATGGTCCATCCAAGACCGGGTCTCCAGCATGTGGCTGTGACAGCATGTTAGGTTTAGCTGTGGTCCCTGGACAGTGGCACCACACACTGGAGATCCAGCCCATTAAGTGTGCTATCTTAAAGGCAGGAAAAATGGGATAGGTCTCTGGGAAAAATTCCTCAGCACTAGTATTACTCTGCCCTTTGTCTCAGTGGGGCTGGAGGGGCCCATGAAATATTTCTTATTAGGGAGAGATTATGCTGCCTGCCATTTAGTAAAAAACACTTCAAACCCTTAAATAAATACCTGAAAAGTATATATAATTGCACTTCCTGTTACCAGGGCCTGGAGTAGATATATCTGAAGTCTAAACTTGGGCTTTATAATATAGCTGCGTAATCTCGAGTCTCAGTCACATCCCACACCTGACAGCATACAGGATTAGAATTGCTGTATAAATCCGATAGAAACACTCTGATTTTTCTCAAGGACTTGATATTCACCCCAAAGTAGGAAAAATACCATCTCCACTCTAAGCCCAAATTGTAATTTCTTTTTTTTTTTTAGCTTTCTTAATAATTCAAGTCCAGAGCTAGGTTTGAAAATAACTTTCTTCCCAGTATAGTTCCTTTGTTACTTTTATCTGTGGTAGGCAGGTGGCTGGAGGAGGAGGAGAAGGAGCAGAGAGCAACAAAATGCAGAGGTTTCTGTGGTACTCGGTATGCCTGCAGCTCCCCACCTCTGGCTGCCCTCTCACCTCCCAGAAGCACAACTCCATCCTCTCCTCAGAGACATTCGACACAGTACAAATGTGTGGGCTTTTCAGAACAAGTTGATAAAGTGTGAGGAATCGAAGTCACAGGTTTTCCTCTAAGTGAAATTTCTTCAAATAAATGACTGGCTTCCAGCTGTTGCATACCACCAAAGGGTATGAAATATACTTTGCTGAAAAATACAACCTAGGTTCACAGGGCAAAATATTTCATATCAGCATTATTTTACTTAATATTTTGATTTATATTCCATAGCTTAAAAACCTCCCTCAAGAAACCCATCATTAAAATTGCCAATCGTCTGCAAAAGCAAGTAAGTTTCATAAAATATAGCAGACAGTGAGTAGTTTGCTGAACACACGCAGCTTGCAGGAAACCTCGGAAGTGCTCTCGTGGTACTCAGAGCACTTGGACCCGCATAAAAATTTGTTTCAGGTTTATACAAGTACTTGTTACAGAAATAGGGACACTGGAAAAGGTGATTTGCCAGTAGATGAGATCTATAGGTGATAGCTGCAAGGGTAACCAGAGACTAGATCTGATTCAATGTGAGTTTGGAATTTGAAATCATGGAATCTTAGGAAGGAAAGGAACCTTAGAGATCATCTAGCCCTCTTCCTTCTGTTTAAAAAAAAAAAGTGACTTGCCTAGAGTCATGAAGCCACTTAACAGCAGACCTAAGATTCAAAACCAGGTCAATCTCCTGCCTGGTAAGTTGGATTAAAAGCAGTGCTTTTGTAGTAACCTTGATGGTTCAGCTTGATCCTTGCAACAGAAAGAAAACCCTACTATTACCCTCCCATCCACCCACTATGCTGAATGTCCTTGCATCACCTCCCACTCTGCCCCAGCAAATCCACAGCAACACAAAGTAAATTACAAAGTGGTTCTGTAGCCCAGTCCAGGGGCTTCAGGGTTGGCATGTGGCAAGTATTAATGCCTATCACAGACTCATTGATGCCAAGTACTCGTGACTCACATCATAGCCTTGGTGGGAGTGTGATTCTGCCCTAGACAGAATCTTCCAGCCTCTCAAGCAAATTCTGGTTGGGCTCTGAGAGCTTGGCAGTGAGCACTGGGATGTGGCAAGGCAGATCCCTGCTTCAGAGCTGCCTGGGAGGACTGAGCTGCCAGAACCAGTTCAGCCCCACCACAGCCCAACTCAAATTGAAATCCACTTTATTATTAGAATTTTGGTGGAAGGAGAAAGCAAATCTGAGAGCAAGCCAAGATGTTAAAGTGGATTAGCTGGAGACAGTCCAAGGCAAACAAGGCTCAAGTGAGTACACTTGCAGTTCTGCCAGGGGAAGGGGTACAAGAAGGGAGATGGCATGGTTGGAGGGAGGGGAGGGGAGAGCAAAGCTTGGAGCCTGCAGGTAGAGAAGTGGTGGCTTTCAGGGCAAGGATTTTACTGGAGTGTTCTGTACAGACCTTTTGATGTATCACTTACCCTTTCTTCCTTCTGTATCAATTAAGGAGAAAAAGTTATTTTCATATAGAACAAAATGACTGAATCCACATTGTCAAAACTAATGGTAGGGGAAACAGGGAATGGGAAATTTTGTTCTTCAAAAGTTGAGTTCCAGGATGACTAGAAGTGATATTGGAAGTGTGGTACCTAGAGGCAAGCTCTTCTGGTAGGCATGAAAATAAACTTAAAAACTTTAAGCAGAAGGAGTTGGGCATGGTGGTTTGCACCTGTAATCCTACTACTTTGAGAGGCCAAGGTGGGTGGATCAGCTGAGTCTAGGAGCTCAAGACCAGCCTGGGCAGCATGGTGAAACCCTATCTCTACAAAATATATAAACAAAAATTAGCCAGGCATGGTGGCACATGCCTTAGTCTCAGCTCCTAGGGAGGCTGAGGTGGGAGGACTGCTTGAGCCCAAGAGATTGAGACTTCAGTGAGCTGTGATTGCACCACTGTACTCCAACCTGGAGTGAGACCCTGTCTCAAAAAAACAAACAAAAAATAAAACAAGAAATCTTTAAGCGAAAATTTGCTAGACAAGAACCTCTGGAGCCAAAGCAATGTAGAGTAGGTGGGGCAGGCTGGAGGTGGCTTTGAAGCTGTGGCTCTGCTTTCGCTGGAGCTCCCTTTACCGTATGTGCTGTGGTATAAAACATAACAATGTCATCTGTGGCCATAACATAGAATTCTTGGAAAGATCTTGTTGACCAGACAAGTGGGAAAATGTAACTCTTTTTTGTGATCTTGAGCTTGGGTTGAAAATTCTTGCCTGGGTTTCACCTACCTGGCAGTTTAGTGTCACTTCATCACTTCTGGTGACTACTGCCAAACTGTCTGCCACAACCAAAGTGGCAGTTGGATGATGGGAGTGGGTGAATACATGGGTGTGTGAGGTGAGACCTTCCACATTGCTAAAAAGCCGGCTTTGTCAAGAGAAACAAGTTCGAAGATCCTCTATGGTGAAACAGTGAGGACGTAATGTCCTCAGGGCTTCTTCCAGGAGTGGTCAGTAGTAGTAGATGCCAGTTAAGGGCACCTTGCCTCAGGCTTGAGAGCTCTTCTTTTGGGGAGAAAACTGCTAAAAGAAGATGCAGAACTGTATAGATCAGACCAGGACAGATGTCCACTCCTATTTTCAACCAGACACTTGCCCCACTACTAATCAGCCTTCTCATCCTTCTCCCGCCATGTCCCATGCAGATATGGCCCTGGTTGTGTTGAGCACGCATGTTCTCATATCAGGCTGGCAGTTTGTTTTCAGTCTCTCCCATTTGTAGGAACTTAAAGTTGAGTCTTACATGTTCAGAATGTTCAGATAGTCTAATTTTTTTTTCTTTAAGAATTCTAGTTCTTTTTGAAATTGCTAATTGCAGAGAGAGGTATACATTAACTAGAATTTCAGGAGAGATGCTTTCTGCATGACCGCTGCTGATCCTGGCTAAAGAATGCTTTGTGAATGCTCCTATATACATTGCTTTCTGCCCTGTGGCAACTCAACTGCAAGGACTTAAATACCTCTTTGAATGTTATGAGGTGCTGGAGGAAAACCCAGGCTCTATTTTTTTTACTACATCTGTACCCTCTCTCCTGCTAGCTAGTGTCCTTTCTGCAAGAATAGAATTTTTAAAGTTTCACTTACTGTTTGCTGTTCCTCATTTACACATGGAAAACAGATTGGCTTAATGAGCAATAGAAGATATTAAAAATTCATTATATTTTCCTTTACTTGGGATTTTCATGTAGGCTGTCTTTTTATCTCATTTACTAATTAATTCATCAGTCATTTTCTGAGCTTCTACCATGTGCCAGGCACTATTGTAGACACAGAGGATATGGCAATGAAGAAAGCACACACAGCACCCTCGTTTCCTGCTTAGACCTTTCTCTGCTGTGCTGATAGCCTGAATATGCCCAATTTTGAGACATTTCAGATTATTGTTTGAAAAAAAGAAAAATTCTTCTTGAAAAAGGATTTGAAGGTATATGGAGTGGGTGTAGTTTGTTAAAGAGAGGTACTTCAAATCATGGAACCTGAAATCTGTAACTTATTTCACCTCCCCACCCCACTTCATCCTGCCACCCCCAAAATGAGAACGGTCACGGTTCTTAGGCCTTTTTCCACACAGTCTCTTAAAGGGGAATGCTTACTGCATTAATTTAAAAAATTCTTTAAAAATCTTAAAAGAGAAAGACTTCTAAAATATGTTCTCTGACATTTAAATTTAAGACAATACTGCCAACAGGGGAATATGAAGTCCCAACCATGAAATTTGCTGTTATTTGGAGGGCAAACTACTAGGAACTACCACTGATACATGCCCAAACAGAAAGTTCTGTTAACACGGAAGAATGAAATTTAGGCAGAACAGAAAATTATTTCAAGTATATTGGTACACTGAATTCATTCTTTTATTGAACAAAATTTAATTGTGTCCATTGATGACCAGATACCACGGAGATTCAGAATATATCAAAACAACTTCTATTTCTGCCCAGTCTTCTGAGTTCACACCCCAATTGATAATATGTGACAGTATGTGATGATAGGGTGGCTATATACACATTATATGTATTTATGAAGGGGGACAGTTGTACTTGCACTTCCTTTAAGCCAGTTGTTGTGCTAGGCCTCAGAGAAGTTACAAAGACAAATGTGCCAGATGAGATACACATTTACCACCCAATATGTTACATTTAAACCAGAAGCATACTTTTTGAAAGATAAATTTTGCCTGGGAACCAAAGAAGACTTTTACATCAGAAGTGAAATTTTAGCTTGGCCTTGAAGTTCATCTTCCTTTCTGTTTTTCCTTCTTTGTATCAATTTTGGTCCCAAAATATTTATTCTATATTATTTTTTAATTGAAATGTACAGTATTTATATTACCTAACTGAAAGTTATGGGTCAATCTGATTAAATGTTACTTACCATCTTATTTCTATAGATAAAATGTATTCTTAAGTACAAACATCTGATTTATATCAAACTTTCTAAATTTTTCAAAATGCAAAATATATATGCGAAAATGTACAAACAGAACTGAACAATTTAATGGATAATTATGAAGTGAACATAGATGTAAAAACCATGCAGGTCATGAAATAGAACATTGCTGGCTTTTCAGAATCCCCGTTTGTGCCCCTCCCTGGTCACAACCCTGGAGGTCACCATTCTCCTTGCATGCATAATAGTGTCTTTACTTTTTTTATAATTTTACCTTCTATGCAGGTATCCCTAAACAATTTCATCTCAATGTGGCTGTTTTTATATGACTAGAATCATTCTACATATATCCTTTTGTGTCTCACTTCTGTTGCTCAACACTTATTTTTATGGGATTCATCGATGCTGATGTGTATAGTTCATTCATTTTCATCATTATATAGTATTCCATTGTGTGAGTATACCACAATGTATCCATTCTGTACATGCAATGTTTGGGGCAATTGTGAACAATGCTGCTATGGATATTCTGGTATACATACCCCTGTGCATGTGTACTTGAATTTCTCTAGGGTATAAAACTAAAAGTAAAATTGTTAGGTGATAGGATGTGTGTGTATATTTTCACCTTTACTTGAAGATGTCAACTATTTTTCAAAGTGCCGATACCAAATTTACACTCCTGCCAATATATATGAAGTTTTCCATTGCTCTATATCCTCACCACTACTTTGTATTGTTAGACTTCAAAATTTTTACAGATCTGGTGGATGTGTATTGATATCTACTTATGGCTTTAATTCGTGTTTCCCTGCTTACTAATCAAGTTGAACATCTTTTCCTGTTTGTATTGGGCCTTTGATTTTCTCTTTTATAATGTCCCTGGTTCAAGCTTTTACCTGTGTGTACAGTGGGTTGTTTGGCTTTTCTTATTTATTTTTAGAAGTTCATATATTCTGGATATTAGTCCTTTGTTGGTCATGTATGTAATATGTTTCACCCTGTGGCAAATCTTTTCGTTCTCCTTATTGTGTCTTGATAAACACATACACTTTGATATTCTGAAGGCTATACATTGGTAAGTTAGAGGCTCATGTGATGTGACATATGAGGCATCTCTTACATTTTGTATTTTTTTTTGAGACCGAGTCTTGCTCTGTCACCCAAGTTGGAAGTGCAGTGGTACAATCTCAGCTCACTGCAACCTCCACCTCCCGGGTTCAAGCAATTCTGCTGCCTCAGCCCCCAGAGCTGCTGGGATTACAGGTGCACACCACCACGCCCAACTAATTTTTGTATTTTTAGTAGAGACGGAGTTTCACCATGTTGGCCAGGCTGGTCTCAAATTCTGACCTCAAGTGATCCACCCACTTCGGCCTCCCAAAGTGCTGGGATTACAGGCATGAGCCACTGCTCCCAACCACATTTAGTATTTTAGGGTACAGTTCACCATTTGTTTCTCCACAGAATAGTGTACCAACATGGAAACTTAATATATAATGCAAGTTTATGTTAATCCTTAAGTATGCCTCTATTTTAATGAAGGAATAAGAAGTTGACTTTTTTAAATTAATGTTTGTTACATTTCACTCTATACATTATATGCAGGTAATAGAGATGCAGCAATGAAATATGCTAGAAAAAAGGTACTAAATTTGTTGGTTTTGGATCTTAGATGTCTGACAAACAGCCAAAATCTAGGAAGAAACTAGCAAAACTAAACATCTGTTGCTCACAGGAAAGCCTTTCAAATCTTAATTTTATATATAATCCTTATGATCTTTGCCATCTAGTTACTCAACCCAAAGGATATTAGAAGATGAGAAAGTTACTTCTCTATAGGCACATGTATTGCCACAAAGGCTAAACTGTTGACAGCAAGGGAGGATACAGAAAAGCTATGAAAGCAAAAGCTGATGGAGGAACTAACTCCAATAGTGTGGTTCTATTTAGTGAAGCTATCAGGAGTGCTATATGGCTGGGTGTGTTCTGAGGTCATCGCTTGTATTTCGCACTACACCAGAACAAACAAGCACAATGTGATGTGTTTGGCATTGTGGGCAAGAGAGAGATCTAGAAACTGGGACCAAATGTAATTAAGAAAACTAAAGCTTCCAGTTTGGGAAGATCAGAGAATGTTCCACGTTAGATTTTACTGAATGGGTAGAATTTATCCAGGCAAGATTCGTGTTGGGAGCAAGGAGGAAGATCATTCCAAATGGATCAAACAGCAAGAGTGAGGGGTAAGGGAGAAAGGAGAATATAGGGTAAGTTTGGGGCATGGAGAGTCAGTATGCCTGGTTCAAGTTCAGGGTTTGTGAATTAAGGTTTGGGAAATAAAACTGGAATGATTGGCTGAGTCACATCATGGCAGATGCTGAACACCATTCAAAGGAATTTAGACTTTATTGAGTAGCACACAAAAAATGCTGAGGGTTTTTTTTTTGTTTCAGCATGATGATTATAGAATTACGTTTATCCTCACCTTGATGCGTCATTGTCCTTTTATTCTTTCATTCTCTAGCCTCCAAAACAGTCTATTGTTAGTCCATCCACAAGTTCTGGATCTCCTTCTTTGTAGCTGCCGTCAGTGTATCAACTCAGCACCTCTTCTCTTTCTCATATTGTCAAACACCTCCTTTTCCTCTGCCATCTAATGCTTATTTGTTACCTCATGCTCCCAATGAGAACTGCTCTTGAACTTCTACTCCTGAATCTTCTTTCTTTAAAACTCCCCATTCTTCAACAATAGTTTTTGTTGCTTCACTTCTGATATCTATGATCAAAATTCGAAACACAAGAGTATGTCTCTGAAGTGACTGTACTGCTAATGCCAATTTCATATTCACTTACCCATTCATTCTCCACATTTTTTTTCTGAGTACCTACTAGGTGCTAAGTGCTGCTCTAGGGTGGAAACACGGCAGGGAAACAAAACAGGCTGGTTTTCATATCTGGAAATGCCCACTGCTCTCCACATTAATCCATGCCCTTCCCCTCATCCCCACAGAGCCACCTACACTAATATTGCCCCTCTCCTCTCCCCTTCCCCTAGTCAAACATTATTCTTTAACATTCAGGGCATACGTTGCCCTGAATTTACTTTGTATTTGCCATGTTGCTTAGCATAAAGCTGTACTCTTAACAATGAGTTGAACACTCTCTGTTCCTAGCGCTTGCCTTTCACCCTGGGATCCAGCACCGTATTTCCAACTGTCTATGACATAACTGCATTTGGATGACCTCTTGCATTCTACTCGACAGAACTGAAACTAAACTCATCATATACCACATCCTTGATCTACTCTTTTCTCAGATTCCATCCACAGCTTTGTCTGTAGACATCGTGGCCCTCCTTCACTCTCTATCCTCTTGCTCAAGTGACTTCCACTGGAGGACTCTCATGATAGCATATTCCTCAGCCTGCTGCATATTCTGTATAATAGGCAAGGTCTGTCCCTGGGAGCTTCTAGAAGAAGAGCATGGCTCCCAAACCACATAGCACTTTCTAGGACCTAGAGCCTCCAGTGAGCAGGCCCCTTCCCTCTGCCCCTGCTCCTCCCCTGGGTCCCAGGCAGTCTGCAAACCTCTCCTCCAATGTGTGTTTTCCAGTACGTGTGTGATCAGCTTCAGTAACAGATAATGATCTCAAAATTGCCTTCATCTACCAAACTATACTGCATCACTGTGTCTCCAAAATTATTTATCTGTCCTGAGAGGTACATTTCTGACCTCAGGAAAGTATTCCTGGAACACATCTTCATCATTAGAGTGATTACTGGAATCCCATCCCTCAGCATTTTGTGAGACTGTATCTCCTTCTGGTTTGCTATTGTTTCTCATGGGTTAGTTTTTAATCTCAACCACTGAATCACAAGATCCATGAACACAGGCTTATGATTGCTACTGTGTGTTACCTGCAGCACACTGAGGTAGAAGTAGCTTTTCACAGAAAGAGCACAAACAGTAATTTGAATGATATGTTTTATGTATATATCTCTGGTTTGTGTATATTTATGAATTTGTGTGTGTGTTCCTCAGTGTGTTTCCCATATACTCTGTAAGAAGTATTCATCTATGTGGTTTGAGGGGCAAGAACTTGGATATTTTCCCTGGCCATTAGGCCAGTGACATAAACTAGTAAGTCGGGTCCTCCACAAGCTCATGACTGTCGCTGGCGCAATACAGGGCTTACCTGAGCTGTAGCCTGGAGTTATTTTTGCCCCCACTTCCTATTCTCTCTCAATATGAAAGACTAATTTTGCTTTTAAACATGAAGGGGGTGGCCAGGTGCGGTGGCTTACGCCTATAATCCCAACACTTTGGGAAGCTGAGGCGGGTGGATCATGAGGTCAGGAGTTTGAGACCAGCCTGGCCAACGTGGTGAAACCCTGCCACTACTGAAAATACAAAAAATTAGCCAGGCATGGTGGCACACGCCTGTAATCCCAGCTACTCAGGAGGCTGAGGCAGTAGAATTGCTGGAACCACAGAGGCAGAGGTTGCAGTGAGCTGAGATCACACCACTGCACTCCAGCCTGGGAAACAGAGCAAGTCTCTGTCTTGGAAAAATAAAAAATAAAAACAATTAAAAATTTAAAAAAAAACATGAAGGGGGAATATGTATGTGCACATGTGTGTTTGTATGTGTGTTTATGCATATGTACATACATACGTATGTGCATGTATGTATGCATATATGTATATATGAAGAAAATACACCAGAATGTAAATAATGGGTATTTCTGGGTGGTGTCTTTTTTAGTTTTTGTATTATGTCTTACAACATGACATAATAAATTTAACAAAAACCTAATAGATATTATTTTTTAAAGACCAGAAAGGAACAAGATTATCAGATAGTTGCTGGGGTCCACCCTCTGCATGAACCAAGGGTGAGGGACGAGCAGGTGCCTAGCAGAGAACAGGGTGATCCGCTCTCAGGACCTTGGGATTCAAGAAGGCAGTCAGACAGTGAATTCAGGCTGACTTGCAGGACTGGCAGAGGTTGTGAGCTGAAGAACTGGCAACTTTGTTTGGTTGTGAAGGTCAGGAGCCTTGGACTGTGAAAAGAAAGAGAAAGAAAATTCAGGGGGTAGGGGGCTGGGAGCAGGAAGGGGATAAGAAGTTCTTGAAGGTTTACCCCAAAACCCCGCAGTCTAGAGACCTGTGGAAAAGGTGAGGAAAAGCTTGAAATATAGCTTCAAATTCATGAGACATTTTCATGAAGAGATATGCAGTGGGAGAGAGAAGCAGACGTGTTTCCAGTTTGGTGTTTACTTTCTGTGATTCCAGAGGGAGGGGTTCCCAGAGTGACTCAGCATGGGGACACGGGGACCCAGGTCAGGAGGACACAGAGAGCGCCCACTAGGGAAAGCGTTTGCCACTGTGTGAGCAGCAAGCTTTTAAACAGGAGGTGGGTCAAGACAGCTCCCCCGAACCCATTACCCTCTCTTCCCTCCTCTCCCACAGTCTAAGGACAGAGGGAAGGTTTTCTGGTAAAGAAACTATTTCTAACCTTTCTAAATTGGAAACAAACAAAAAATGACATGAAACAAGTATTTTCCAGGATGTCTCTCCCACACTGCCTAGGTTCAGAGTTCTCTCAGAGGGTTCCCTGAGCAGAGGGAAAAATGGCAAGAGGAAAAACATAGATTGAATGTTGCTGGCTGTGGCTGATGTCTTTGCACTGGGGTGGGTGTGGCCAGCCTGTCACTCAGGAGGCAGCATAACAGGTGGGCATACCTCCGCACCACCTACGAGGCCTTCCTGCTCATCGCTGACCGCTCAGCCAGCCTGTCTTTATCAGTAACCTCCTTATAGAATTTGGGAAGAAGAGCCCTGGGGTCAACATGAGCAGCAAACACAAACATCTAGATTCAAAAGGAGACCCTTCAGGCAGAGTAGGATGCATGATAAAACAAATAAGAAGGTCGCAAAAATCAGTCCTTGAAAAGAGCTGACCTGAAAGTGTGTTTCATGGTATTAATTTATGTCTTCTCTCTATGCAGTATTTAATATTTTTGTTACTGTATATCTCAGTTTTTAATTCTGATGGCTGCATCAAGTGATATTTCCAGTCTGGGCTCTGGTTTGAAACCTGAGGTGGAGAAAGCCTTTTTAAAACCAGTTAATATAGTATTCACAGAGTTCCTCTGTAGGTAATGAAGGAACACAGAATACATAAAGTCCCTGCCAAGGACAGAATCCCCCACCCCATCTAATGGAAGAGATACAGGCTTTTCCCTAAAAGTCCCTGCCAAGGACAGAATTCCCCACCCGATCTAATGGAAGAGATACAGGCCTTTCCCTAAGAAGTCACTGCTATAATTGGGCAGGCAGAGAAAATCACAAAGGCTGCCTGCAAGCAAGCCATCCAGAGGTTAAGCAACTAACAGTAACCACTGCCTTTCTTACTGAACTCCTAATATGAGCCTGGCATTTTACATGTACTCTCTCCTGTCATTCCCACAACAATTCTTCAAGGTAAGTATCATTATCCTCATTTTGCAGATGAGGAAAACGTCACTCCAAGAGGTTGAATAATTTACCCAGGGTCACACAACCAGAAAGTGGCAGAGATGAGATTTGAACCCAGGTGTTTCTGATATCCATTATGCACACTGCCTTCCACTGGCCAAGTCCACTAAAGAAAACAATTGGATGATTCAGGCAAAAACACACAAAGCAACATTTTGGCCCAAATAATATAAATTCTATCAGTTCCCTCTTCTCATAAGCTGAATAAAACACACTTGAATTTAAAAACCAAGAAAATTCTGTGTTCCATGTATTGTCTGTTAATCACTCACTGTCTTCTGTGCCAAGCAGAGCATGGCATGAGTCAGGAATTTAGAGGAGGCTGTTTATTCTGTCTTAGCCATACGAATAGCAATTCAAGCACATCCCTGCCTCCATGGTTTTCTAATCCATCAGACAAAAAACATTGGAAACATGCAGTCGACTGAAGATGCATTTGAAAATCTATTGCAAAATAACTGCCTCAAATTCTTAGTGGAACGAGAAAAGGTATAATATAATAAACATGTTCTCCTTTTGTGGCTATTTTTCTATCACTGGATGTCCAATGAATGCAAAACGTCTCACTATAGCTCAGCTCTTATTCCAAAAGTCTAACATTAGAATGGGGCCTACAGTATATTAAATAAACAGCATTTATATGAAGGAGTCTGTACATGAATAGGGGGAGATAGGGGAAATTTTAGCATACCCTCCCCTCATAAAAAAGAATGCTGAGAAGGTTTGGTTAATAAAAGCCACTGTCCTATAAAGTGGGTCTCACTGATTCTTGCCCCTGATGGAAAATGCCAAAGACAAGTGCTTCTGGACAATGTGTGCTGGAAAATGTGAAAATGTGCTTGATATCCTGCAAAACTCAGCTTTTCTGATGTTGGAGTGATTGGCATAAAGAAAAGACCTCTGTGCTAAGCATTCCAAGGCAAGTGACCCTTAGAATTACCAGGCAAATATTTCAAAAAGTTGATCTCAGGCTCTACACTGGCCTATGGAATCAGAAAGCCAAAGTATAGAGTTATTGGATATGAAATGTATATGAACTCTAAGCTGAGAGCTGTTTTCTCAAAGAAGAGAAATTACTGGCATTTCAAAAAAAAATTTAATGGTCTCTTTTTCACACTTCCACTTAAACTTTTTCCACTAGTCCTTGCCCTAGGCCAGATTTTTGAAAAATCATCTCAATAATGTCATGAATGACTATCATTTTTAAAGTTAAGAGCTATGCATTGATGTTTAGTTTAACCACTCTTTTAAGGTACCAAGTGGGCTATATAAAATAATGGCTTCCTGGATAACTGTGTATGTATTTTCTCAGGGCTTAAGGGAGCAAGTGTTCAGTATCACCCATATGAGTTTATCACCTATTTCCTATTTCTCACACATCAAACCATCATGAGAAAGATTTGTGGATATACAGAGATCATCATAGCTTAAGGTTTAAAAGGGGATAAGAAATTTTCTTTAACCCCCAATGGATATATATAATGAAGTGACCCAAACCACTTCAGGTTAGGTCCTCAGGGACAGGATAGATTCTTATGTGAGGAATGCTTTCCAAGATTTTTAGAATCCACAAACATACAAATGTACAAATATTATTTAGAAGATGGATTCTCCTTTAGAAGAGGCAACATGTACAGTGATTAAGAACCGCTTTGAAGTCACACAAACCTTGGTTCAGATCTCACCCCCTCCACTTGCCAGCTGTATGATCCTGGGCAGGACTTCTCCAGGCCTCAGTCTGCAAAATGAGGGCAATGGTATTACCCACTCCATGAGGTTGTGGTGCAGATCATGTGAAATGATGCATGTGAAACACTCAGCACCTTGTCAGACATGTGGTAAGCACTCAATAAATGTTAGCTATTAATAAGAACAATAAAAATATTTTTAAACTGCTATCCTCTTCAGAATTTTAACAACCGTATAAAGAGCAGAATGCCAAACTCAGCATTTATAAGACTATTAAATCCTGCCACTAAAATAAATTCTGTAGGCCTTGTAGCACATCTATAAAAAAAAAAAAAAAAAAACCTGGTAATGACAGTGAATTATGGTGTGTGTGGGGGTGTCTAGCTAATCAGGACAGCTGATGCCACCTTCCATGCTAATGACATTACACACAGAAAAAATGTGATTTAAAATTCTTTTTTTTGTTTCTTTCTTTCTTGTTTTTTTTTTCTTTTTAATTATATTTTAGTTCTAGAGTACATGAGACGGAGTCTCACTCTGTCACCCAGGCTGGAGTGCAGTGGTGCAATCTCGGCTCACTGCAACCTCCGCCTCCCAGGTTCAAGTGATTCTCCTGCCTCAGCCTCCCTAGCAGCTGGGATTACAGGCGCCTGCCACCACACCCAGCTAACTTTTGTATTTTTAGTAGAGACGGGGTTTCACTGTGTTGGCCAGGTTAGTCTCGAACGCCTGATCTCGTGATCCGCCCTCCTCAGCCTCCCAAAGTTCTAGGATTACAGGCGTGAGCCACCATGCCCGGCCGTGATTTAAAATTCTTAAGCCACTTTTGCCCTGTAAAGTTGGGCTCAGTGAGTTCACCAGTCCTTTTGCTGTGAGTTACTTCACAAATGCATGTGTATAGCTCCTGGCTTTCTTCAGAATCTCATCTCCTCTCTGAATCCTAAGTATACCTTATATTCCTGGAAGCTCAGGGTAACTGCCACTTCAGCTTGATGCTGAAGTATTTTCTCTCACTAAATGAACAGTTTTTGCCCAGCTGGAGTTCTTACTAAGAGAGTTTCAGACTGTTTTTCTCATTTCCATGCGGCAAGTGTGATAGAACCTTTCACATCATGGAGCTGAGCCACAGTCAATGTGAGACTGTGAGATTATACTCTGGAATTGATCCTGAACTTTTCTTTTGGCCAAGAGCCATTGCTCTTTAGAATATATCACTCTTCCAAGAGCATTACAAGTTGACCTTCCTTGAGAGGTCATTTTTCTTAAGGAAACAGTGATTTCATTGCTTCAGATGGCCCAGTAGAGATGGTGGAAGCCATGCTGGATATGGAAGCTGGGTCTCCAGCTTGGCTCCCCACTCGTTCACTCTCTCACTCAGGAATTCACTCCCTCAGCCAGCCTTGCAGTCTACCCAAACCAGCTGCATGCCTTGGAAAAATTACAGATTGTCACCTGTCATGGTCCCTGGAAACAGTTAAATCATGAATTTTAAGTCCATTACTGTCAACGATGTACTATATAAATGGGTAAACTTTTGTCAGTTTCTTTCTCCCAATTAAATGTTATATAGCAAGATTTGCTGGTAGGGCACAGGGACCCTAAAAGAGCTTAAACAAGAAAACAAATAAAGGATATGAAATAAACACTAATGATCACTGTCACTAGGATCTCACATTTAATGCATCCCCATTTCTATTATTCCTGACTACTCCTGCTTATGGGTCTGGAACGTTGGGAAGCCACTGCAGGACTGGTCTACAGGCGTCTAATGGGATGAAAGCGTATGGATTTGAGTTCCAACCAAGTTAGTAAAAGTGGTTCATCAGTGATCCTCCTCTGGATTGTGGACCTGGTGGGCTTCTTCTGAACCGTCAGACCAAGGAAAGTCTTACACACACTGTTTCCTCTATATCCTCTTCTACAAAATGATTGTGTATTTTTCAGGTTGCACTCTGCACTGGGTTACTAGAAATACAGTAGGTTGCACTGATGATTTAACTCTGTTTTCTATAAGGGCTACGGGATCTCATGCAGATTTTTGCAAAGTTATATGCAAATCACAGAGCCCGGCCCTTTTCTTAACAGGATGGCAACCTTGTTCCTCGGTGGCACCTGGGACCTGGAGATCCTTTCTCCACTTACGTTTAGCGCGCATCCTGGGACTTGTCCCTGCAGCTCACCGGGTTAGCCGTGGCACCGTTGGGACCTCCCACCAGGACTCCAATCACCCACCTCTCTTGAGACTTCTCTGGCAGGGCTGGTGTGGGGTGCAGCCTTTGCTCAGAGGGCAACATGTTCCAAGCAAAATCTCCCCGCCTGGGCCATGGGCTCACCCTCGGGGCTCCCTTCTTCTCTACTGGGTGCAATTCGAGGTTGCTGAGCTTCTCTCCAAAGTCTAAAATGGTGGGGCAGTAGGGACCTGTGAGAGGCCCAATGGCCCAATGTACTTCCCCCAGATCCCACTCAGAACAGCAGGTACGCCCAGGCTCCTGCTGCCCTAGAGGTCTGCAACATGAGTGAAGAGGTTAATTAGAGGGACACACTTATCTCTGAAGTTTTTCTCCAGGCTGAACATTTCTATTATCAGTGGCCCCTAATCTGGAAAAACCCATCATTCTAATCTAGCTTGTATCCCCACATCATGAGAAAGAGGGAAGAAGAAGAAGGGATGATGTGTGGTAGAGAAGATGAGGGTTAACTTTAGCCTTTCCCAAACACTGGCAACAACCACTTCCTCAACAATTTTTCTATTTGCTTCAGCCTACTCAGATTTTTTCAGGTTTTTCTAGCTCCTCCATAACCTCACTCCCTCCCGAGGTCTCTGGTTCAAAGACCACCCTACCAGCCCCTATTTGCTTCAGGTTATCCTGTTGAGGGTGGGTGGGAAGAGTGAGAAGATATAAATGAAAAACTGGCCACATGTTGATAATTGTTGAAACTAGATGATGGTACGTGGACATTCATTATACCATTCTCCCCACTTCTGTATTTGTTTGCAATTTTTCATAATAAAAAAGTTTTAAAAGTCCTCCAGTTTCCAACACACTCAAGAGAGAGCCCCAACCCCAAACACAGAGTTTCATGGAAACCCCACACCAAGGCAAGAGGCAGAGATGATGATTCCATTTCATATATACACTCATTTTCTAACTTTTTTTAAAGGCCCACTGCTTTATTTTCAATAGATTAAACCTGATTTCTGAGAGGTCCTGAAGTTGGGCTTATTTCCCTGGCTGGGTTATGGGGGAGGGCAGGGTAAAGGGATCCTTAAAAAAGTTTACACTTCTATGTATCTCACAATCTTATTGTGAGGATGTGACTTGTTCAGTGTTCTGAACTTTTCGAAGGAATCGTGCTCTCAATGCAAAGTGTCATTCTCTGGAATTGCACCTGGCTCAGGAAAGGACTGTCTTTGTACTTGAATTTAAATCCAATGGAGAACTTTAACACGGGCATTTGCATGACTGAGAATTGCTGCTGTCTTTTTTCCGTATGTCACTTTCTTGAATGTGTTCTAATAAAATGATTCTAAAGCAGGCTGTTGATATACAGTGATTTATAAATACTTTCTGTTGAGTGCTGAGGCCCTTAATTCTCTGCCAAGAACCCTTCCCATCCCACTTTCCAGAAAGATCTGTCAAGCTGGGGACAGATGCAATGAGCGTGTGTCCGGCATGATGGCGGCACCACTGCAATTGCAGCACTAATGAGAATCATATCAACCACAGCAATTTTGTCTTCTGGTTGCCTAGCAACAGAATTTGTTTTTCAGAATAAAGATAATCATAGGTAGAACAGGAGTGTGGTGGGGGGAAGGCAGAGGAGGGGGCAGGGCAGGAACAGGAGTATAATTGACTCCCCCAGGAGGGAATGAGGGAGCAGGGTAGAAGGGAGAGAAAAGCAGCCAAAAAGAGAGAAAGGCAAACTTCAAACTTTCTTTTTTCAGTGGTAGTCCTCAGCACGTTCAAGTGATAATCAATGGTAAAATTTTATTTACAAAATTAAACCTTTTGATATCAAGCTATAGCAATTTACAAATCTCAAAATCTCATTAGGCAAACTGGAAGCAAAAGGGAAATATATATATCTCTGAAGGTAGATATTTTGAGAAACACTTTTAATCCTAATCTTTATGCCCCTCCAGCCAAGACTAGCTAGGGCAGGGGTCCCCAACCCCTGGGCTGCAGACTAACTAATGCCTGATAATGTGAGATGGAACAGTTTCATCCCAAAACCATCCCCTACCCACCTGCTCGCCCCTCCCATTCATAGAAAAATTGCCTTCCATGAAACCAGTCCCTGGTGCCAGAAAGGTTGGGGACCACTGAGCTAAGGCACTCCCATGAGCTAGTAACAAACTTGGGCCAACTCTTTGGGAAATGAGGCATTGTTAAGAACCTCATGGCTTAAAGGCTTCATAAAAGGAAGGGGAGGCAGAACCAGTCAAGGAGGTTTCCATTCACTGGGCGCTTTTCTGACACCAAGTACCAGGAAGACACTTGATATCCTCTAATTTTCACAGCCATCCTGAGAGGCAGGTAGTACTTTGTTTTCCAAATGAAGAGAAGTAGATAACTTAAACTCACAGCCAGAACATAGCAGATCTGTGATTCAAATTCAGATCTCTCATCCCCAAATCCATGCTTTTCCAGGTCACTGGGCTGATGGCCCAGGTGCCCAGCCTGGGGTCTTCCTTGCACACCTCCCACAGGTGTTCACATCAAGGAACTATGCAGTTCTGTATGCCCTCGGGGTGCAGACCAGTGTCCTGCTCTTCCTTGTGTGATTGGAGATCCCTGACGGCCAGGGTCTTTGCAGCACACATCCATGTACCCTTGCCTTGTTGTGTAGAGCACAGGCTGATGAGGCGGAAATCACCATTTGGTTTTCATAGGGATTTGTTTACTTAGCAAATATTTTTCGAGTGCCTCCAAGCGCTGGGCATTATGAAGTGGGTGAGTAAACAGTCCCTGTTCTCACAGAGCTTACCAGTAGAGGAGACAGATATTAGTCAAGTAACACATGAGTGGATATATAAATACAACTGAAAAGGACCTTGGAGATCATTGAGATCAACTGATGAAACTGAGACCCAGAAATGCTAGTTGCCCAAGCAATTTGCCCAAGACCATGTAGCAAGTTAGGGCCAGAATAAAGACTAGAACTCAGAACTCCTGATTTTCATTCTTAAACTGTTTTCCCTACCCTAATATGTCACACTCTGGTCTGCTGCATATCCATAATAGACTGCCCCCAAGCCCCAGCCAGCCATATAATCATGTTGATCCATCAGGACACTATTGCCATTTTTAGAAAAAAACAGAGAGTATTTTGAAATGATAATTAAAGAGTATAGTGAACTAAATCCCTCAGGGTGGCACTTACCAAAGCTTGTTTTCAGAGTTATCTCGGAGCCCAGAGCAGAAACAGAGAGAGGCAAGGCTCCCATGCTGTAGCGACACTGACTAATAAGGGTGCTTACAGGTGTTTCAGTGTTTTGGTCTCACCCCAATACTTTCTCATCTCCCAGATTCAGCAGTTGCTTATTCACTCATTAATTCAACAAATATATACTGAGTGCCTACTAGGTGCCAGGCACAGTTCTTGGAGCTAGGGACACAGCAGTGAACAAAACAGGCTGCCCTCATGGAGCATACATTCTAGCTGGGAGAAACAGACAATAAACAAAATAAATAACACAGCATATTAGAAGAATCAAAGAAAAATAAGAAAGGAAGGTAGGGAGTGCCAAAGGTAGAGATGCATTTTTAAATAGGGTAGTCAGGAAAAAGACCTTCCTGAGAAAATGATGTACTCAGTACATCATTTTCTTTATTTAGTGACAAATAAATGTATGTATATACATACATATGTACATATGCACAGGCATATATACATATAATTTATATAATACAGATACATATGTAAGACCTTCCTGAGAAAATGATGTACTGAGTCATCATTATATATATACATATGTACATATACACATACATATATATACTATACATATACAAATATACAAATGAATTGGTGATAAATATATCTCTTTAAGTGTGACAGTGCATTTGACATGATTTAACATGTCGCTGTGGGCCTAGCTCTGAATAGCCAGCATATTGTGTAATTTGAAAAGTCCCACAAGCTGCTTCCTACTCCTTACAGAAAAAGGAAAAGAAAAAAAAAGCTTCTCATGGCATGTACCAATGCCCAATTCCTAGCATTCCCTTTTTGTGGGGCACTAAAGAAGTAGTTCTCAAACTTGAGTGTACATCAGAATTGCCTGGAAGGATTGTTAAAGCACAGACTGCAGGGCTGCACCCCCGGAGTTTGTGGTTCAATAAGATTTGGATGGATACAAAACTTTGCATTTCTAACAAATTCCCAGGTAATGCTGGTGGTCCAGGGACCACAGTCTGAGAACCACTAAATTAAGCTGTTATAGCTAGGAGGTTCCTGTTAAAATGAAGCTATTGCCTGAGAAATGAGGCATCCATTCATTAGGATGCATGGATGTTATCAAAGTAGTTATCCTTAAACAGCAGAATCGTTTAAAAATTGGACTATTTTTTTGAACAGGGGTAAGTTTCAGAAGCCACAGCCAAAGACCCCAAGCATGGAGGAATTAAACAAGGGATGTGTCCTGAAAGGAGGTGCCAACAGTATTTCATTATTTGTCTATCAATGCTTTACATTTTCATAACGTAATACTTTTATAAGCCCTTTTGACCACTACTTTCTTTTGACCAGTTAACCTACTAGGTGGGCAGTGCAAATGAATTATTACATTTTATAAATAAGAAAATTGAGACAAAAAGAGGTTATATGGCCTCCCTTGAGCTATCAAGTCTGAGACTCCCAGATCTCTTACTCCTATTCCATTTTTCTTTCTCCATTAACATTTTTCATAACACTAGCTATAGCTTTCGCCTGAGACATCTATTCTGGGATCATTAAAATCCAGGACATACAGCTGCTCTTGGTCTTTTGCCCTGTTCAGAATCCCACTTGCTGCAAGTAGATTATTCATATAAGTGATTAACTATGTCACGTCCTAGGCCCTGCATCAGTTTCTTCTGCCATAAACACATTTTTATTCTTCTCCACTGGGTATTTTACGGAGAAAATGCTAACTCATTTTGTTATTAGCCTAAGCTAGAACTTAGCATTATGAAAGCAAACCTGCTGGGGGAAAACACACATAATCCTTTCCAAAGGCAAATAGAAAAGACATTTTGATTATATGTACCATTGCTTTCATTCCATTAGTAGAGATAATTGAAAGTTTTCTGTTTCACGAAAGTACCCAGCAAAATGAGAGTAGATTTTGTTATATCTGATGACTGGTTAATCACATTCTTGAGTATTTAAATCTACCTACCCCTCCACAAAAAATGGAAATGAAGCATAAAATCCTTTTTTCCAGTTCTTGTCCTTCTAGTCATTTTCTCCATGTCTGCACTGTCTCCTCTTGGTGAGACAGTGAGGTCTCCCATTGACTCTCATGGTAGGGACCCTGTGGGTCACAAGGAGCTATCTTCCTTCTGCTTCTATACTGTCTTTGACTATCCAGCAGCCCAAGGCTTTAGAAGCTTAATTTCTAAATCTGCTCTCATCTGTCACCCAATACATTGATATTCTTACATCTTCTTCCTTCTCTACTGCCATTGGGACCATTCATTTATTCAGTAAACATTTACTATGTATCAGACACTCTAAGAGCCACTGAACAGGCTACAAAAATGAGTTTGAAATAATCCTATCCTCAAAGAACATGGCATGTTATAGAACCACTCCCTAAATCACATGGAGTCATAAACATCCGGATGTCTTCTCTATGTGGGTTACAGTCCCACGCAAGCTGCTCCCCATTTTCATTCTCTGTACTCTATGCTCAAAGAAAGCTAGTTGATGAGTTTTTTCAGCTCCAACATAAAATAGGCACCATTAGGAAATAAAATACACCTGGGGAAGAGAAAAGTGGGATGAGGAAGGAGAACTAGTCTGCGATTCTGAGTACACACAGAGATAGGTATGTATCGGCAGCCCAAAAGCATGGTAAACAGGGAGCAGTATAGGATCTAATATCTGCTGTAGACATTCCATGTGTGGACCATGGAAACTGATATATGTGGGTCATAAAGCTTGGATGACTAGAAGTTTCATATTGATGAAAGATCCAGTGTGAATGTGGTTTTGCTGAGCTTTAGACTCCAAAGTGTGCTGTGAAAATGACTATCCTTTAAAAAAATTAATGTTCACTGCAACACAAGGACTGAACATAAGAGAAAACAGGTTGAGTTGTGGGAGAGAGTGGAATGCAAGATTCAATGAGCTGAATCAGTATTAGAGAACCCATAAGAAAGATTCAGATCCTAGTCCAACAATGTGTATGTATGTGCATATAGGTACACAAATACATATGCACAGGAAATGTGTCAAAGGCCAGTTTTTATGAGGATGAGTCTCTTAAATATATTTCAAACTTATAATCCAGAAAGGAAGACAAGTTTAGAAAACCAAAAGTGCAGTCAGAGTTAAAGATAAGATTGTTAGGTGACCACACATCTTCCTCCCATTTGTGTGGAGCTACCTGAAGGTGTAGCACCTTTCACACTCTCAGCAGCTTAGAGGGGCTCAGCCTCTGACCACTCTTTTTTAGATTGGGCTTCGTGAATAGAATCACAAGCCAGGGGTTCAGGGTAGATATGCAGCTGGTTCTCAGATCTGTCCTTTGAAACCTGTTTTTACTGGTTCTGAAAACCTGTCCTGGCCCTGAAGAGAGTTTTCTCAGCACAGTGCTTATATCCAGGCTTACTAATGACCATCAAAGGTGCCAGTGGCATGATAGTACAGCCAGGCCTACCATGGGTGGATGTGGACATGGATAATGGTAGCCGTAGTTAGAATTTAGAGAGTTCAGAAATAGCAGTGATGGGAGAGGGGGTTTCTATGTGTCTGCTTTTGAGTTTCTGGGATGGTGGAATAAGGAAAGTTATTCTATCTGTAAGGATGTCCAGTGATTCTGTTACCTATTAATGGTGACCTTCTAATCAGCTTTATACCTAACATAATGTGGAGGTTTTAGATTTGCCTGTGTTGAGTTCTGCTGGGTGGTTGTTATGGCATGCATCTGAGTAAAGGGAAGTACCAGGTTGGGGGTGGGGATAAAAAATAATTGATGTAGAAAGAGAGTTTAGATTTTATTGGTATGGCACTGTCACTCCGAGAGTGACCTGTAAGGATAGCACTCTGAGTGTTGCTCTGGTGTCTCACAGATTCACGAGGACTTGCCTGGGATCTTGGCCTTGAGAAAAGCAAGTGGTTGATAAAATTGATTGACACAATTGAGCTTCTCCAAGGCCAGCTGGAAGTTAGCAATGAAAATAGGAGGCTTTGTACTTCTCAGACTTTCCTGTGTTCTCGTTTGCTGTTAAGGATGCTGACCTACTGCTTTATGTTTTGGTATTTCTGGGACTATTCAACCAACAAACTTGTAGGAGAGCCACAGGTATAACCCTCAAAGCCAGGCCAACACAGTACTCTCTGTCTACCCTGCAAAGCCACATAGGCAGGCTTGGAGATGGAATAGGTCATTAAAGAGGTGGAGGGGTGGGAGGGGGACAGGGTCCTTGGAGTCCTTGATTGATTGGTTGGTGTTGTAGAATAAAAGTGATGACATTTCAGTTTAATGGCACAGCAATATGTTGCTTGTAGGGCTACACACATTCACAGCCTTCCAGGAGAGGCCATGAAGCCATCCCAGCATTTCTGGCTTCTGAGGAGTGAATGATTCAGAAATTAAAGTGAGAAAATAATGAGCCTAGTGAGTGTGATGGTCATTCAAAGGGGATTGCTTAGATCATCACCACATGCCAGTTTCCCAACATGCCTCAGACCTCAAATTTGGCTATAATAGTAAAAAATCTGGATAACTTGTTTTTTCTCGATTAAAAGTCTTATAAAAATACATATGGAGCCAGGTGGGTGGCACATGCCTATAATCCTAGCACTTTGGGAGGCTGAGGCGGGCAGATCACTTGAGCCCAGGAGTTCGAGACCAGCATGGCCAATATAGCGAGACCCTATCTCTACCAAAAAAGATACAAAAATTACCCAGCATGGTGGCGTGCACCTGTAGTCCTAGCTACTTGGGAGGCTGAGGTGGGAGGATCACTTAAGCCCAGGAGGCAGAGGTTGTGGTGAGCCAAGATCACACCACTGCACTCCAGCCTGGGCAATGGAGCGAGACTGTGTCTCAAAAAATAATAATAATAATGATAATAATAGTGCATATGGGAGCAGGGGTAGGAGGAGTAAGGATGTGGAGGGTTAGATAGAGTAGCACCACTAGTCACATCTTTGGTAAATGTTTGACATGAGAAGGGCTATAAAGGGTTATGTCCAAAATAGTATAATGATTGGGATTCTGGAGAGTCCCTCCACTATCAGAGACTATAGAAATGGCTAATACCTCCCCCAGAGGCCAATGAAGGAGTTACGTCTCCAAAACAAGAGAATGTGTATTGCTAATAATTAGTGACTCTCAAGAAGTACTGGGTATCCATCACATCATTCATTTATTCATCCAACAGCTATTTATTAGATACCTACTATGTGTCAGGCACTATTCTAGACAGGAAAAAGAAAACAACAACAACCACAGACAAGAATTCCTGCCCTCATGGAGTTTATATTCTGGTGGAAATACAGACAAATAAGTAAGGTATATAAAATGCTAGATGATGATACATGTTATGGTGAAAAATAAAGCTGCAAAGGAATGTAGGGAGTGCAGGAGATGAGGAAGGAGTGCAGGGAGAAACTAAGATCCAATGACTGACACAATCAGGGCTACAGAGCACTAGGAAATTCATCCAGATGATCTCAAGGCAGATAGTAGTAATGAGTCTGTGAGTGTCGGGGGAAATGGAGAGGTAAGGGTTTTGCAAGAAACATACAGAAGATTTTATAAATCTCTCTTTATTACTTCCCACAAAAAGCATGAAGATTGGCTGGGCATGGTGGCTCACACCTGTAATCCCAGCACTTAGGGAGGCCAAGGCAGGAGGATCATGAGGCCAGGAGATCGAGACCATCCTGGCTAACACGGTGAAACCCCGTCTCTACTAAAAATACAAAAAATTAGCCAGATGTGGTGGCACACACCTGTAGTCCCAGCTACTCAGGAGGCTGAGGCAGGAGAATCGCTTGAAACCAGGAGGCAGAGGTTGCAGTGAGCCGAGATTGTGCCACTCCAGCCTGGGCGACAGAGCAAGACTGTTTAAAAAAAAAAAAAGAAGAAGAAGAAGAAGCATTGGGGAGAAGCAATTTTATCTAGGAGCAAGTAGGAACTCTCAGATAAGATAGCGTCTGCCCCAGTCTTCATGCCTCCACTGAAGCGAAGAGGGTGCCCAGAAATGTACCCCAGAAGTCAAGTGGGAACCTCAAACTATTCCCCCATCCTTTACCAGCAGTCAAGAGAAGCCTTTCTGATATGACATCAGCCTAGGTTTGAAGAACCTAGATTCCATTCAAAGTGATGATGACCTCACCTATGGTGTGGTTAAACATCCTTCAAGTTCACATGGCGAGATTCGTGAAAACAAATCAAGGTTTGGTCCAAGTTCTATATGAATCTGGGAGCCAAGAATTCATACTATTCATGCACTGTTTATAAATCAAGGGAAGCTTAAAGGGGCATTGCAGATTCTGAATAGTGTGACAGGTATTTGTTTTGTCCCTAAGAGGTTTAAAAATATTAATTCCCTTTGGCTACTTCCTCCTGATTCCCAGCAGACTGTACAGTCCCTCCAGTCTAGTTTGATAAAGTTTCAGCAGCAGCAGGAAGCATGGTTTCCAACAATGCCTGCATGGAGACCCACCATGGTAACTAGTACAAGGACAGAGAAAGTCCCGGTTTGCTTTATCACAAATAGGACAGAACTCCAGGGGACCCAGTGAAGAGGTGCAGGAATTCCTGTTACGGTCTTTGGATAATAATTCATATAGAGTATACCTATTGCTTGGTTCCCTGTGCCCAAGTAGTAGGTATGTTCAACCTAGATCTGAGGCCATGACAGCAGGAATATGGCTCAGTCACAGTTGTGGGTAAATGTAGCTTCCCTATGTCCTCTCCCCAAGCCCCACTTAGGACTCATCAAATTTATGCAGCAGACTCGAGAGTTAAGGAGAACCTGGCTCTCTCCTCCCAACTGCCTCAGTGTGCCCTCAAGAGACAAGCTTTTAAAGTTGAAGCCAAATGGGAGGGGAGCTTAGAGTACCAGCACACACACCCACCCTCCCATTCATTGTGTACTAGTTACCATCTAATGCTAAGGTTAGCTCTAGAGAGATACATTGCAAGACTAAGTTCAGGAGGTTGTTTGCCATTGCTATGTTGAAAAATTAGTCTAAGATGGCATTGGTTAGCCTTTCCAGATAATGGCTGAATGGGGCAGGTTCATTCCAACTCAGGTCTTGTTATAGGAGCCAAGTAATGTAACAGCAAACAAAATCACATTCTCTATGTGGCTATGAGAAATCAAATGTAATACTTGGTTATTTTCTATTTTCTTGGATCTATACTTGTGCTCAGCAGGGGGGGCTCTAAACATACCCATATAGGTCAACCATCTTTTTGTCCTATCCTGATAAAAATTTAATTTTGAACATGACTCAGACTCATCTGTAGATTGCAAAAACTTTTGAACTTATATGTACGTGTAGATCATTAGCTGGATAAAGAATCAGTATAGTTTTATAAAATTCGTGTCAAATCATACTAGTACCCAAACTGGTAATTGCCACAGGATAAGTTCCATGAGGGTAGGGATTCTTGTCTGCTTTCTTCACTGCTATATCCCCAGTACCTATGCTAGTATCTGACACATTGTAGATAATGCAAGTACAATTACATAGCATGTACAGCAAGTGCAGTCTCCTTAGTGTACAGAAACAGAGAGAGAAAAACTTCCCATCTTTAGTGCAAGCAGACTGGTAGATGAGGACCTCCCCTGTTGCAGTGCTGAAGAGTAGGAAGTTCTCCAGAATGATGTTATACTTGGCAAAAACAAGGAGCATGCTGCTTGAGTTCCAGTTCTTGATAATGCAAGAGTGGAAGACAGGTCTGATGCATGATCTGGTAGGCAAAACTCAAATCCAGAATCGAGGGCCAGGGTCGTTTAACAGGTAGGGCCTGTTAAACCTAGCAAATTATAGCGTTGGAGCTTCTTTGCTAGGTTTTCAGGTAGCAAAGAAGCTCTAAGGCCATAATCAAGGTGGACAGTGGAACCCAGGTGCACAGCCAGATGTGGGAAACTACAGGGTGGTTTGGTCACTGACAATTCAAATAATTCTGATAAATGCCAACTCTTCTCTCAACACAGTTTTATTCTACACATGAGCTTTTAAATGTGCTACTTGACTTCTGGGGCCCTGTAGATCATTTCTAATTAAGAATGGAAAATGGGAAGATGGAAAAAAAAAAAAGCACCAAGGGCCAAGAACAATGAACAAGAGAATAAATCCAACAGGGCACATGTCAAATAAAAAAGAAAGAAACAACTGCTATGAGAAGTCAGATTTGAAAAATGTCCCTCATTTGGTTTGCTTCACTGAGTTGGTTACCAATGAGAAAGACTGAAGTCTCAAAGACAGTGTTGATTGCAAATGCGCTTCTCTCTGCCCTGCCCCACCCCCATCTCATTCAACATTCCTGAAGCTCCAGGAAATGAAAATGTGAGAATCAATCCATCTATTGTGAGTCAGCCCAAGAAATGGTCAACAGTGGCATCTGATGCCAATTCCCTGGTAGCAAGTGAAGCTGATCTTCAGCTTGATTTTAATGAGCTTTAGGACTGTTCCAAAAATACATAAAAGGGATAGAAAATATCCTTAATTAGAAGAATCATATAGTCCATTTGGGAGAGAGAAAATATAAATACTCAGGGAACAAAATTCATACCATGTAGGATAGGAATAGCTATTGCATTATCCTGAGAGGTCCAAAAGTTAGAATGATCTCGCCTCCCTTTTTATCTCTGTCCAACACCGAAGATGAGTCATTTGATGTAATGGCAGTCATCTTCAGGTTGTTTTTGTTTTTTTATTTGTTGCCCAGGCTGGAGTGCAGTGGTGTGATCATAGCTCACTGCAGCCTTGACCTCCTGGGCTGAAGTGATCCTCCTGCTTCAGCCTCTTGAGTAGCTGGGACTACAGATGTGTACCACCACACTTAACTAATTTTTGTATTTTTTTGTAGAGATGGGGTCTCACTGTTTCCCAAGCTAGTCTCAAACTCCTGACTTCAAGTAATCCTCAGCCTCCCAAAGTGCGAGGATTACAAGCCGGGTTGTTTTAAGAACTGCTAGTAATAATCATGATAGTAGTAGTAACAACAATAATAAAATCCAGTAAGTCGGCTATAATTGCATTCAGTTTGTATTTGTCTTAGTATGGCCCCATTATAACTCTCTCCCTTTCTTAACTTTATTTTTCCTGCCACTCTTTCAAAGTTCCCGGACTCCTACCAATACTCATCCCTAAGACAATTCAATCGAGAACAAAAGTGAATATATCTGTTGGGATAAGCCAAGTTTTGCTATGGTAACAACTCTAAAAATGTTGGTGGATTTAAACAACAAGGACTTACTTCTTGTTAACACTACATGTTTGTAATGTAGTTTTATCCATAGCAGGGGGCTCTGTTCATTATAGGCCCTCAGGGATTCTCTGGTTGACCAACTTCTAAAGTTGCCAGTTACCATCCCAGACAGAAAGATAATTCTGAATGTTCTTACTCCCACAATTAAATGCTCCAAACTGGAAATGACTCAACACCAATGACCAGAACTAGTCACATAGACCTACTCAATCACAAAGAGCCCAGGAAAAGCAATTGAGTTATATATCCAGAAGGCAGAAATATTTGGTGAGTGTCAGAATGACTACCTTAGCAGTTAACAACAAATCATACTTGCAAATAATTTACATTTGGACTCTAATATTTATATTTTGGCTTTAACTCAAATAGATTTTCAAATTTTGGCTCTACTCAACAGATTTGTATATGTGAATTTCCAATTTACACCTTGAAGTAGTGTTATTTATGTTTAGCTCATGGTTTGCTTTCTGTTAATCTTGGTATTAGTCCATTCTCACATTGCTATAAAGAAATACCAGAGACTGGGTAATTTGTAAAGAAAAGAAGTTTAATTGGCTCGTGGTTCCACAGGCTGTACAGCAAACATGATGCTCACATCTGCTGGGCTTCTAGGGAGGCCTCAGGAAACTTACATGGCAGGAACAGGAGCAAGAGAGAGAGTGAGGGGGGAGGTGCCACACACTTTTAAACAACCAAATCTCACAAAACTTACTCATTATCACAAGAACAGCACAAAAGGGATGGTGCTAAGCCATTCATGAGAAACACCTCCCTGATCCAGTCACTTCCCACCAGGACCTGCCTCCAACATTGGGGATTATAATTCAACATGAGATTTGGGCAGGGACACAGACTCAAACCATATCAGTCCTACTACCCTAATTTCTACTCACCCCTGTCCATGAATGATAGGTCTCATATGTAGGGGGTCAGTGCTAACGTCAATGTTTAAAGTATAAAGGTAAGAAAGCTTCGTGTTCTTCTTGGAACTTTTTCAAGACTTAGAGAACCAATTCTTAGGGTACAATGGCCTGGTGAGTCTAGTGGGACATGAGCCTTCTGTATCTTAGAGCTTAATTTATTATATTATTCATATGCTAACCAGTGGAGTTCTCTATTGGCATCTGGCATAAGATTCTCTACACAGTAGATGATGCATGGTAGGGAAGTGAACTTACTGAATCCCCAATAGCAGAGTCACTGACCAATGTTGCAAAGCATGTTTTACATAAGTGTAAGAACATGCCACATATGTCATGTCACCTCTTATAAGTAATCCTATAAGATTGCATGACATTGCTCTAGAAATCACATAGTTACTCCATTATTACGTAGCTTGTGGTATCACTGCCAGGGCAAATTCCAATGTAAACCACATTCAGATTATCTGCAAACCTGGGCAAGAAAATGTAGCACTGTAATGGCATAGAACACTGGGTTGGAATCAGGAAATTTAGTTTTGATCCTAATTCTGCTATTGATCAGGTATATGAGCTTTGAAAAATGTGTTAGCCCAATCATCTCTTATCCACACCTTTTTCCTAGGCTGGGCATGGTGGCTCATGCCTGTAATCCCAGCATGCTGGGAGGCTGAGGTGGGCGGATCACTTGAGGTCAGGAGTTCAGAACCAGCCTGGCCAATGTGGTGAAACCCTGTCTCTACTAAAAATACAAAAAATTAGCTAGGCAGGGTCGCACACATCTGTAGTCCCAGCTACTCAGGAGGCTGAGGCAGGAAAATTGCTTGAGAGGCGGAGGTTGCAGTAAGCTGAGATCCCACCACTGCACTCCAGCTTGGGCGACAGAGGAAGACTCTGTCTCCAAAACAAAACAAAAGAAAAAAACTGTTTCCTAATCTGTAACAGTGGAAAGTAATATAAACTGATTTCTACATTTCCTTCTTTTTTAATCAGTATACTTTCCTATTAGTTCTTACCAATAATTCCATGACTTTTATGGGAAAAAAAAAAAACAAATACACATCCTAAGTAATGTTGAATTGGAAAAAAACATATTTATATATAAATAATAACCTAATTATATATATAATTATATACATAATTATTATCTATACTGATAAAAGAGACATAGATACTGTAAAATAGTAATTTTTAAAAAATTGTTTATGGCTGGGCATGGTAGCTCATGCCTGTAATCCCAACAGTTTGAGAGGCCAAGGTGGTAGGATCACTTGAGTCTAGGAGTTCAAGAGCAGCCTGGGCAACACAGCAAGACCTCATCTCTACTAAAAGTTAAAATAAAAAATAATTTAAAAATTATTTAGCTTGAAATATAGGCACAGATGTTTTCAGAAATTAACATATATGCTCCATTTTCTCTCTCATTTATTTATCCATTCATTTAAAAATATATTGAGCAAGGCCAGGTGCAGTGGCTCATGTCTATAGTCCTAGCACTTTGGTAAGCCGAGTTGAGCAGATTGCTTGAGCCCAGGAGTTTGAGACCAACCTGGGCAACATGGCAAAACCCCATCTCTACTAAAAAATACAAAAAAATTAGCCTGGCATGGTGGAGCACACCTGTGGTTCAAGCTTCTCAGGAGGCTGAGATGGGAAGGTCACCTGAGCTTGGCAAGTTGAGGCTGCAGTGAGCCAAGATCGCACCACTGCACTCCAGCCCGGGTGATGGGAGAAGTGAGAGCCTGTGTCAAAAAAACCAAAAACAAATAAAGAAACTGTTGAGCATATGTCATGTAATCAGCTGGGTTAAGTGAGTGGAGAGGTGCAAGCACATTAAGGACACTGGCAAGAGCATTACTAAAATAATGAGCCATGCACTTTACTCTCCAAAAGGTGAAGCATAATTCCCCACTCTAACTATGGCCTGTGTATAGTAACTTATTTTCAAAGAGTACAGTGTGAAAGGGAGGGAAAGAGTAACTTCACAGTGGAGAAATCTGGCAAACACTACCTCAGTCAGGTTATTATCAACAGGTTACCTCCATCAAACATCAACAGTGAGAGGTCACGTTGATAGCACGTACCCTTGATATGATGTGGTGCTCTTCCTCACCAAATCCATAACCCCAGTCTACTCATGAGAAAAACATCAGATACATCCAATTGAGAAATATTCTACAAAATACCTCACCAAAACTCAATATATTCAAAAGCAAGGAAATCTTGAAATACTGTCACACCCAAGAGGATTCTAAGATGACATACTAAATGTAATGTGGAATCCTGAATGGGATTCTGGAAGAGAGAAAGAATATTAAGTAAAAACAGGGAATCTGAATAATATATGAACTTTAGTTAAAATTGGTTCATTTATCAGAAAACCAAACACCACATGTTCTCACTCATAAGTGGGAGTTGAACAATGAGAACACATGGGCACAGGAGGGGTAACAACACACACTGGGGCCAGTGGGGACGTGGGGGGCCAGGGGAGGGAGAGCATTAGGACAAATAGTTAATGCACAGAGGGCTTAAAACCTAGATGATGGGTTGACAAGTGCAGCAAACCACCATGGCACATGTATACCTATATAAGAAACCTACACATTCTGCGTGTGTATCCCAGAACTTCAAGTAAAATAAAATAAAAATGAGTCATGGCATCTAAGCTACATATGAAGGAAACCGATGAAGAGAGAGTATTGATGGATTGGGAGAAAGTAAAGGACTCTATGAACTGGAAGTCTAGTGGGGTGATCAAAAGGTGTGAGTACCTGAATGAGCAAATTGGAAGGAGAGGAAGCTGTGGTAAGGAAGGAAGATATGAGGTGTCTAATTCTAAGCAAGATAGAGAAGTAAGAACCAGATTTCCTTCCTGGCCTGAAACAATTTTTTTAATGGGCAAAATATAAGAAACAATAATTTTCAAGACACTGGACATCAGACAACAAGGACAGTGTGATCCCTGAGAGACAATAAACAAACCAAGCGAACCCTGCAAATACCCCAGCTTACTGCTTTGAGTTTCCAGGCGTCAATGCGGGGAGGGGTAGAATGCCTGTTTCTAGCCAGAGTAAAAAAATCTCAAATTCCCAGGAATCAGGAAGAGTACTCAGAAGGGTCTTAACCTGAGTAGTGGGGAATAATAAATCCTAGACTAAACTTGGCTCTGTTTCTGCCTATGAGACCCTGTCTCAAAAAATATAAAAATTAAAATTAAAAAACAGTGCATGATTATATAGTAAATGAGGTGGATGGGGGGATATTTCCTATAAAGAAGTTTTTTTTTTTAAAACACTAGCAACTTGTAAACACCCTTGAATATATTAAAATATATAAAATGAAATAAATTTGGAAAAAGATTATGTACAGATATGCTCACAAAACTCAGTCATCATCAGTCACTCCAAGTGTTCCCTGTATTCACTTCTTACACCAATTTACAGCTTGTTTCTCATCTTTTCTTTTAGGCAGAGACTTTCTGGCTCTGCTTATACCAGCTATACTTAAGTTTTCCAAGAGTGCTACAGCACAACCTGATATGAAAACTTGCCCCTTCAGTCTGCTTCAATCTGTCTGGTCACTTGGGTTTCAGATCAGGAGTGTCACAGGCATTGCTGTCGGCTGAGCACTCATAATTAGCTCTCTGGTATTCCCCTCACTCTCTGTCTCCTTTGTCAATGAGATATGGTTTTTTGATCCAAGCTGCTTTTGAATTTTCTTTTCTCTTCTGATCAGAATAGAAAAACACAGAGATTAAAAAACATCTCCAACCTTTCCTTGTCTACCTTCATAAGACTCTGTCATCTAGATCAGGATCAGAAGGCTTGGCTGCATATAAAAGAAAAGCCCCAGGTGACACCGGCTTAAATAACAGAGAAGTTTATTTTTCTTTCACATAACAGATAACTGCAGGTAAGCGGTCCAGGACTGGTAAAGAAGATCCACAAAGTCCTCAGGCACCCGGCTCCTTCTAACTGATTCCTTCACCATTCCCAGGGTTTAGTCTAATTCTCATATCCTAGATGGATGGTGTTCCAGGGAGCAGGTTGGAAGGGAAGGGAAAATGTGCCATCCCCCATATTAAAAAGACCATTGCAACAAACACTAAGAGTTACATCCCATTGGCCAGAGTGTGATAATATGCCTGCAATAGCTGCAAGGGAACCAGGGAAATGTAGTCTTTTACTGGGTAACAATGTGTCTCCCCCAGCCACCCAAAATGAGTCTTCGTTACTAAGAAGTAAGGGCACGATGGACTCTGGGAGGCACTTGCAAGTCTTTGCCATCCATACTCTTTTTTTTTTTTTTTTTTTTTTGAGATGGAGTTTCACACTTGTCACCAAGGCTGGAGTGCAATGGTGCAATCTCAGCTCACTGCAACCTCTGCCTCCCAGGTTCAAGTGATTCGCCTGCCTCAGCCTCCTGAGTAGCTGGGATTACAGGCATGAGCCACCACGTCCGGCTAATTTTTGTATTTTTAGTAGAGATGGGGTTTTGCCATGTTGGCCAGGCTGGTCTTGAACTCCTGACCTCAGGTGATTCGCCTGCCTCAGCCTCCCAAAATGCTGGGATTATAGGCGTGAGCCACCATGTCCAGCCTCCATTCTATTTTGTATTACCAGAAAAATTGCTAGTAGCAATCCATTGTACATATCTAATTAGTTTCCTCCTCCACATTGTGTACTTACTTTGTACAGAAAAAGATGTTACTTTATTTGTGCAGAAGAGTATTAATGTATAGCAAAGGTATCCTTGAGACTCATAACTCCTAACTTATTCCATATATCATAAAGAAGCGTTGTATTTTTCCTTCTTAACATTTAAAATATATTTTAAGACAGATCAATTTTTAAAGAGTTATGAGACATTTTCCTCAAAATTGATGATGCCACAATGAAAAGCCCAAAGTTATAAACCAGTAAAAGGCATTTAAAATATACACTCTACACTTATTTCTGAAAGGACTTGAGAAAGTTCAATTAAAACACTAAAAAAGATGTGAAATTTAAAAAGTAAACATAAGAGAATCCACATCTTCATGCAGGGGATGTAGAAGTTTCAAATTTATGATGAGGCGAAGTACAGCACTTTCCATGTACTTCAGCAAACTCCAGTTGACAATAATTGAAAACCTACTCCATAAGAGAATTTTTTTTTAAGATAGAGTCTCACTCTGTCACCCAGGCTGGAATGCAGTGGCACAATCTCGGCTCACTGCAACCTCCACCTCCCGGTTTCAGGCAATTCTCATGCCTCAGCCTCCTGAGTATATGGGACTACAGGCAGGTGCCACTACGCCCAGCTAATTTTTGTATTTTTAGTAGAGATGGGGTTTCACCATGTTGGCCAGGCTGGTCTTGAACTCCCGACCTAAGGTGATCCTCCTGCCTTGGCCTCCAAAAGTACTGGGATTACAGGTGTGAGCCACCATGCCTGGCCAAGAGAAATTTTTTAAAACCACGATACTTTCAATCCAGTGAAAGGTACAGGAATGTAGACAAATACCATCCAAGGCAAAAAATGTGCTGGAATAGAGATACAAATATCATTCTGCTAGAGTGAAAAGGTAGGGAGATGTTACTGGGAACTGCTGGTGGTGATGATGCAGACAGGAGCTGCTTATGGAGGCGATTCGTGAATGAGGTGGCCTTTGAACTGGCCTCGAGGATGGAAAAGGATTTCCAGAAGATGACAGAAGTGTGGTTTGGGAAAGGAAGGAAGGAACTATTCCAGGCTGAGAAAAACATCATAAATAAAAGTCAAGAAGTTGGGAAAATGTTGGCTCTGTCTGAGAATCAGCAAGCATAGGTGAGATTTGGCGTGCAGGATCTGTCTAGGTAGCAGATGAGTAGGAAAGACTGAGAGGTTGATCTGAGAAACCTTATGTGGTATGCTCAGGGATTTGGACCTGGTTCTCTGGGCAGTAGAGGAATAGGAGAAGAAGGAAGATGAGCATGCTCACATTCTATGACCTCTGTTTTCTCAGTAAGTAGTGAGCAAATCTTCTGTTCATGAGATGTTTGTTAGTTTGTAAAGAATGTAAAGGGTTTAGAAGAGGATAATATGGTAAGGAATCAAAAAAGAAACAAGCAAAAGAATTGTGAGAAACGTCGAAGTCCCCACGGAGGTGTTGGAAGTGAATTTGTCTTCACATTTTTGACAAAAGTAAAATGTATTAGATTAAATAACATTTTGGCTTTTGACAAGTGCAAGTACATATACCATGAGGCAAAAACGTATGTACCTTCTCTCACCACTGCCTTCTTTCAGCACAGCAGGACGATTTTGAGTGACCTTGATATAGGAACCAAAGAAGGTGATATTGAAGAGCCAAAGAGTGTTTGTGTGTGTGTGTGTTTGTGTGTGTGTGTGTGTATGTATGTGTGTGTGAGAGACAGAGAAACAGAGGCAGAGACAGAGACAGGATGCGAGAGATGGGGAGGAGAGAGGAGCACTATTTGTCTTAAGTAGTTAAGAAGAAATTATCACTGGGTGATAGTTGTTGGTCAGAGGAGAAGGTTGTGTGTGTGCATTGTGAATAAGGTGGGACATTTGGATGAGTTTTTAAAGCAGTGCTGAGTATTCTGGGTCAAAATGACACTAAAAGAAGATAATTTTCCATAGAGAAACTTGTACAAAGAGAAACTTAGATGATAACCTAAGAGATATTATCTGGTGGAGCAGGAGGGAGACAGACCTTTCCCCTTACTTCTTTCACAAGGGCATTGTAACAGTAAAGATGAATGTGGAGATTTAAGCAGAATACCTTTCAGAATGACGACCCTGTAGCAGAGCGAATAGTGGGGCCCCAAAAGGCCACAGAGCTCAGAGTGGCTGGAGCAACTCTCCCACCACACTCACGCTGAGTCTTGGCATCTCCACCTTGTAATTCTGCCTGGGGAAAGCTGCGAATTGGAGCACTAAGTTAGAACTTAAGAATGCTTTTCGATCTTTTTTTGAAGATTTGCTTTATAGATGAAGAAATAGGTCCGGAGAGAGTCAGTGGCTTGCCCAAGATCACTGTCCACATAGGGGCAGAACTAGATGGCCATCCAGACTCTTGACTCATAGCCCAGTGCTCCTCCTGCCATTTCTACCATGCTGTCGCATGGTGCCTGGGGGGCTGGTGCAGATCACTGTGAAAGTGCCACTGAGTTCTGTGCAGCCCTGATGGCTGCACGTGCCACTCCCAAAGATGCAACTATGGGGATGTGATCTGTAGCCTGCCAGATGAAGGGGAGCCAAGGGAAGCAGTCAGATGGGGATTTCAGGAAATGCTCTAAAATGGGTATTGAGAGGGTTTTAGAAGAAAAAATCTACTTACCACCCTGTTTCAGGGATATTAAAATGCAGTGCAAACCTCCCACATGCACTTAGGCTTTCTGTGCCTTCTGGGGACTGATAGATCTTCTCTCTAAAATGCATTGATCCTCTGAGGGAGATAGACCACAAAGTTCCAAATCCTCTCCCATCTGAGAGGTAGAAGGCTGGAAGCTTTAAAACATCGACCATTGTTCCATTAGGAAGGATGAGCATGACAATAATTATCTAACTTTTGCACAGCTGAGCACCCAACTCATTGAGACCCACCAGACGCACCTGCACACCCCTGGCAGGCTGCAAGCTCTATGGCTCAGCACAAAGCAAAACAGAGGGGAATGCAGATACTTTGCCCAGAGGTTTAGTGAGGTGCTGAATAAAGAAAGGACTATGACCACTGGTGTTTTTATAGGAAAACCTGAGAGAAAGAAGGTAGACAAGCCTTGGGTTTTCCAGATTCTTTTGAAGGAAGGAAGGGAGAAAAAAAGAGCAAGAGTCAGAGTTTTGTATATTTTTGTGCATTTGACTTTATTTGTATCATTTTGTGTTTTTTTTTGAGATAGGTCTCATTCTATTGCCCAGGCTGGAGTGCAGTGGTGTGATCTCAGCTCATTGCAGCCTTGACCTCCCGGGCTCAACCTCAGCCTCCCCAGTAGCTGGGATTATAGGCATGCATCACCACACCAAGCTAATTTTTTTTGGGGGGGGGGACAGGGTCTCACTGTCACCCAGGCTGGAGTGCAGTGGCATGATCTTGACTCACTGCAACCTCCGCCTCCCAGGTTCAAGCGATTCTCCTGCCTCAGCCTCCCGATTAGCTGGGATTACAGGTGCCTGCCACCACACCCGGCTAATTTTTGTGTTAATTTTTGTATTTTTTATGAGACAGGGTTTTGCCATGTTGCCCAGGCTGGTCTCAAACTCCTGTGCTCAAGCATTCCGCCCACCTTGGCTTCCCAGTGCTAGGATTACAGGTGTAAGCCACTGCACCCGGCCACATTTAATACTTTAAATTATTATAAATGCATATGTGATAAATGAGCTATGCAAAGAAGTCCCTTTTATTTTTAGTCACCCATTCAGGCTCTTTTAGAAGAAAAATATATGTCAGGGTAGCCATGCGCCCAGGTCTATATATAAAGCAGTTTATGGAGCAGTTCTCATTTTAAAGAAATCTGTCGTGTAGCCAGACGATGTTTCTTGGTTTCTCATTTGGGAGTTTTTTAGACATAATATGATAACATGGTTACCATAGGTGTAAGGTGAAGGGCTAGCTGGGTGGGTAGCCATGCACAGGTATTTGAGACTCTGAATCATACATATACACAATTTTGGAGAGCTGGAGTGGACCTTGAAATCTTTTAGTCCAACCCTTTTGTTTTACAGATGCAATAACCGTGGCTTAGAAAGTTAAAGTTGCTTGTCCAAGCCACAGAGCTGGGAATCATATCCAGGGCTCTTCATTTTCAGTCCAGAACTCTTGACATTGTATCTCTCTATCATGGTGCTGTGAAGGTCAATTTTTTGGCAGATCTAGGGCCACTCCGTGGGCACCACTTACCAAAACTAAGCCTTATGTGAGGCACTGGTTTATGTCCATCACAGCTGACATTTAGGGGTTCACGATCATGTTCCCTAGCTGCATGCCAGTCAACCCCCCACAGCAGAGCTTAGGAACTATGTAAGTATTAATTGTTCTCCCTATTACTCTGGGCTGACTGTCACCTCTTTAGCACAGTTGGAAACAGTTTCTTAAAAACTGAAAAACAGTTGGTTAGTTGCTAGTCACAGCCTGTTCTGTGAGGGAGTGGAACTTATTTCCTGTGTCTTGGTGGCATAAAATATAAGCCGTCTTTGGCGACAGAACTGTTTTTGTTACCTAACTGTCAGAATTCATGAAGGTTTTTGTGTATATGTGTTTTGTTTTAGAAAACCCTTATGATTCAGCTGGGCATGGTGGCTCACGCCTGTAATCCCAGCACTTTGGGAGGCTGAGGCAGGTGGATCACTTGAGGTCAGGAGTTTGAGACCAGCCTGGCCAACGTGGTGAAACCCCATCTCTACTGAAAATACAAAAATCAGCTAGGCATGATGGCACATGCCTGTAATCCCAGCTACTCAGGAGGCTGAGGCAGGAGGATTGCTTGAACCCAGGAGGCGGAGGTTGCAGTGAGCCGAGATCACGCCACTGCACTCCAGCCTTGGTGGCAGAGTGAGACTCTATCTCAAAAAATTAAAATTAAAATTAAAAAAAAAACCCATATAATTCTTGGACCTTTATAACCACGCAGTTTTATTTTGCTAATTTTACATCAGTCCTACCGACTTTAGTTAAATTCATTTAGTTGCTTGGAAAAGAGCTCTCTCAAGATAACCTGGATCGGCCGGGCACAGTGGCTTACGCCAGTAATCCCAGCACTTTGGGATTTCACTTCTGATCACTTGAGGTCAGAAGTTTGAGATCAACCTGGCCAACGTGGTGAAACCCCATCTCTACTAAAAAAAAAAAAAAAGCAAAAATTAGCCGGGCATGGTGGTGCATGCCTGTAGTCCCAGCTACTCGGGAGGCTGAGGCAGGAGAATTGCTTGAACCCAGGAGGTGGGAGTTGCAGTGAGCTGAGATGGTGCCACTGCACTCTAGCCCAGGTTACAGAGGGAGACTCTGTCTAAAAAAAAAGGTAGCCCAGATCATTTTTTTGCCCCAGGCCGAGATGGTGCCACTGCACTCCAGCCTGGGTGACAGAGGGAGACGCTGTCTCAAAAGAAAAGCCCAGATCTTCTTAGGGTAGCTTTTCATGGGCCAAGTGCCCACCCTAGTCCAATCACCTGTGGGCACAGAATGGACTGGCGTTATGTGATAGAAGATGCTGCTGCCTCAGGCCTGCCTTGTCAGCAGCTATAAGCAGGGCAGCTTCTTGTAGAAGGGGTTGTGGCCATGTTAGACAATGTCCTTGGCCTGCTTAATTTAATATTATAATCAAAATAAAATAAGTAAATCATCAGGGAGGCGGCTGAAAGTAATGGAAAATAGAATTTAACAACAAAGAGTTTGTGGTTCAGTTTTCAGCTCTGGAACTTAGTAGCCGTGTGACTTGGAGCAACTTTGAGCCTCAAATTTCTGTTGAGGGATTTATAAGGGTTAAATGAAATGATACACATGAAAACACTTTGTCAACTATGAAGCACCACACCCACGTAAAGCATATTATATTACCTCCTGTAAGTCCCTCGAAGCATAAAATATTCCATTTGTAGGATTTTTGGATATCCCTTTCTAAATTGAATGTCACTTTCCGGCACAAAGCTTGTACCTCTGGTTTCAGATGACTACCCCTTGTTGTCAGAATCTGCAGAAATAGCCCAGAGAGCTCAAGGTTGTTACCCTTTACACATAGCTGACCCAAACTGCATTATTCCTAGAGTGCTTTGTTCAGAGAGAATAAGTTGTTAGCATTGGCATTCCTTTGAGTCCTCTGACCCAAACTCCCTTTATGTGCAGATGAGGAACCAAGGCTTAGAGAGGTTAATTGACTTCCTCAATGTCACTGATAGTACCAGAGTAACGCTCACTCAATTATCTATTGCTCCCTAACAAATTACTTCAAAACTTAGAGACTTAAAACAATATTTATTATGTAGTAGTTTCTGTGGGTCAGAAATCCAAGATTGGCTTTGCCTGGTGTTTCTGGCCCAGGGTTTCTTGTGAGGCGGTAGTCAAGGTGTTGCTTGGAGCTGCAGGCATCTGGAGGTTTGACTGGGGCTAGATCTGCTTCCAAGGTGGCTCCCTCACATGGCTGTCAGCAGGCGGCCTCAGTTTCTCACCTTGCGGACCTCTCTCTAGGGCTGCTTAAATGTCCTCACGACACGGTGGCTGGCTTCCCCCGGAGTGAGTGATTTAGTAGAGAACAAGGAGGAAGCAGCAATGCCTTTTATCCCCTAGTTTCAGAGGTCACGCATCAACACTTCCGTCATATTCTACACATTCGAAGTAGTCACTAAACCCAGCCCACACTCAAGTAGAGGAGAGAGGAATTCAATTCCACCAATCCCTGAAGGGTGAGGTATTAAAAAAATTTACGGACTTTTTTTTTTTTTTTGAGACGGAATCTCACTCTGTCCCCCAGGCTGGAGTGCGGTGGCGTGATCTCGGCTCACTGCAAGCTCCGCCTCCCAGGTTCTCACCATTCTCCTGCCTCAGCCTCCCGAGTAGCTGGGACTACAGGCACCCATCACCACGCCCAGCTAATTTTTTATATTTTTAGTAGAGACGGGGTTTCACTGTGTTAGCCAGGATAGTCTCGATCTCCTGACCTCTTGATCCGCCCACCTCGGCCTCCCAAAGTGCTGGGATTACAGGTGTGAGCCACCGCGCCCGGCCTTGTGGACATATTTTCAAAACACCACAGGTTTCTTTTAATGTGGCATTTTCTTTATAAATGAGTTTCCATCAGAAATCAGCAGGTTTTTTTTTTTTATTACTTGATGAAAGATAATTCTCATTCGGCAGTAATTAGTAGAAGAGAAATTAATTTATAAGGATGTCTTCTCAGGATAATATTGAGAAAACCTCTAATGTGAACAAAAGGGTAAAACAGGGAGAGAACAGTATAAGAAAAGAAAGACAAGGGAAAAACAGAAGCAAGGGTGCATTAGATTCTGACTTCTGTGGGCAGAGTTTTCTTTCAATTCAGGAAACACTGAGTGAACAGATGCTATGTGAATCATGTCTAGGGGCAGGGGTTTGAAGGTACAAAGCCTCTAGGTACCCCAACTCTAGTTGCAGAGCATGACCCATATATGTAACTAGCCCAAATATAAATAACATGGAAGCTTACATTAAATTCTGTCATGAAGTTACCTAAGCTTATGTTAAATACTGTAATAAAGGAAACTGTCATGTGTGTTGGGAACATGAAGGAAGGAAACAATTCAGTAGCTGTGGGGTTTGTAAAGCCTTGCAGAAGATATGCAAACCACTCCATTACCATACATGCACACTGGCACTTTTCATATCCTTTCCTTGCTTTATTTTTCCCTTCAATACTTATCACAAGGGGGCCAGGTGCAGTGGCTCATGCCTGTAATCCCAGCACTATGGGAGGCCAAGGTGGGCAGATTACCTGAGGTCAGGAGTTCGAGACCAGCCTAGCCAACATGGCAAAACCCTGTCTCTACTAAAAATACAAAAATGAGTCAGGCGTGGTGGTGGGTGCCTGTAATCCCAGCTACTTGGGAGGCTGAGACAGGAGAATCACTTGTACCCGGGAGGCGGAGGTTGCAGTGAGAGGAAATTGCACTACTGCCCTCCAGCCTGGGCGACAGAGCTCCATCTCAAAACAAAACAAAACTATCTATATCGATACATCTATATCGATATAGATACAGATATATCTATGTATATCTATATATCTATATAGATATAGATATAGATCTCACTATGTAACATCTTGATTATTTTGTCATTATCTTGATTACATCCTCAAGAATACAAACTCCATGAGGGCAAAAGTGTTTGTTGTGTTCAGTGCTGTATCCCCAGGGCCTAAAGGAGTGCCTGGCACATAATAAGCACTTTGTAAGTATTGTTCAATGAATCAGTAAGATAATTAATCAATTAGTATGGAAACTGAGCTCAATCCTAAAGGGGCAGGACAACTTGGCAGATGTGGACTGGAGGGTAGGGTGCTCTAGGCAGAAGGGAAGCTGACCAAAGCCACTGTGTGGCTGGGCCTGCAGACTGTAGTTGCTGTGGAATAAGGTGAGATCAGAAAGGCAGGTACTAGAGGATGTTTGTGAAGGAGTTAGGATTTTGTTGTACACAAAGGGAGCCCACTTAAATTTTAAGGCCAGGAGTGATATCCATGCTTTTTCTCTATGATCTTGCTGCATTTAAGAATATGTGATACCAGGAAGGTTCCCACAATTCCTATATTACCTAACATTTGATTTGCTACACATTGACCAATAATCCTACCTCTTTTACTGTAGCAGCTAGCTCTTCACTCTTCGTTTGCTCTTTTTTTGTATAGGAAATGTAAAACCCTCTAAATATTGAGGTCTCTTATGTTCTTCCTCCTTTGCTGGCGAGCCTGAGGTCAACATTAGACCCTGGGAAATTCAGTGGCATTGGTAGTGGCTGTAACACAGTAGTTTTATGCCTAGGGAATGAATCATAAATTTATTGCTATAATTTCAAGGGTCCCTGATGTGTAGGGTATTTTTCTTTTCTCAAATCTTATATGCTGAGATTTTTTTTCAAGAATCCATTTCATTGCTGCTGGCAGCAACTGTAGGCAGTGTGGGAAGCTCACACAGGGACATGACTGTCCTAGAGCCCAGGGGTGAGGGACCTCTGCTTCCTGCCCTTTGCTAGAAGAGATGGAGTCTCTAGGCTGGGTCTCAACAACCTCAACCCAGAGGCCAGGGCAGGGGGTTGGGCCCCACCTGCTGTGAGGGGGCTATCCCACCTTAATTGTGGATGTCTCATGTAACCTCTGTTCAGCGTCCCCATTAAGGAAGGTATGGGATGCTGGCTGAGACTTTATGATGCAGCCTCACCTTGATGATGCTTCTTTGATGTCCTAGAGAGCCCAGACCTCTCTAAAGGAACATTATTTTAGATAAGGACAGCAACCGTCTTAACTCTGAAATCTCTCAGCCCAAGCTCAGAACATAACCCCACCCACACGTGACTGAGAAAAGAGATGCATTATGGTTGAGAAAGCAGAGATCACACATAGGAATTTTTTCCGTAAGTCGTCTCCCTTTTTCTAGTTCCCTTAATATAAACAGAAGCAACTAGAAAACCTGGAGAGTAACTTACTATGGGAAAGGGAAGGCACTTAGCCACTAATCCCATTTTTAAATACAATGGCCATTTTCAAAAGAAGATAACCACCATTGTCCTTTTTGTTGACAACTCTGTTACTTTGTCAAAGTGCTTAGTGATTAAAAGGCAGTGATATGGCCAGTCTCACCTGTAATCCTGGTAATTTGGGAGGTGGGCAGATCATTTGAGCCCAGGAGTTCAAGACCAGCTCTGGCAACATAGTGAGACCCCCATCTCTCAAAAAAAAAAAAAAAAAAAAAAATTAGCCAGGTATAGTGGCATGTACCTTGTAGTCCCAGCTACTTGGGAGGCTGAGCTGGGGGGATCACTTGAACCTGGCAGGTCAAGACTGCAATAAACCGTGGTCATGCCACTGCACTCCAGCCTGGGTGATAGAGTGAGACCTTATGTCAATAAAAAGAGTGAGAGAGAGAGAAAGAAAGAAAGGCAGACAGTGGTGATTTTAACAGTGACTTCATATGGACTCCAATATAGAAGAGGGTTGTTGTGGAAGCTGGGTTGGGGGTTAGGGAAAGAGAAGTACAAAATCAGAATGCCTCCTTCACCATGGAAACCTTGTACCCTCACAATATAGGGGATGGTCTTAGACCCAAAAGCGCCCAGTGTGGATCCATCTTAGATGCAGCTGAAAGGAGAGAGGGAGTGTCTCGGAAGGATCTCTTGTAGGTCTCAGAGTCTAGTGAAGCCTTTTCAGGGAGATGAGAAGCAGGTGGAGGAGGCTGGTAAAAATGCAGTTTAGGAAGGTCTTAGCTGTGAGAGAACTTCGAGAATACAGAGACATCCTGGCCCATATATGCTGGGGATACATGTCTGTGGGCTTGGGGCAGGTATTTGGGAACTACATTCTGTCCTGGCTGTGAATCCAGAGGCAGAATACTCACACGGATTTGTTGAATGAATGAATGAGCGAATGAATGAACAAAGAACTTGAAGTCAGCCTTAAAGGAGAACTTTCTATGCAGTCTCTTCCTTTTAGAAACCAAATTGGTTTGAAGTCGACCAAAACCCTCCAGAAGGGGTGGTCAAAGCACCGGGAGAGGAGCACCTCTTTTTTAAATTCCATTTTAATTTATTTTAATTTATTTTAAATTTTATTTATTTATTTTTATAGAGGCAAGGATCTCACTGTGTTGCCCAGGCTGGCCTCGAACTTCTGGCCTCAAGCTATCCTCCTGCCTGGGCTTCTCAAAGTGCTGGGATTGTAGGTATAATCCACTGTGCCAGGCCAAAATAATTTTTATTTATTTAGTATTTTTTACAGACAAGGTCTCGCTTGGTCATCTAGGCTGGAGTGCAGTGGCACAATCGTAGCTCACTGCAGCCTCCAACTCCAGGGCTCAAGCAATCCCCCCACCTCAGCCTCCTGAGTAGCTGGTTCTACAGGCTCATACCACCATGCCAACTAATTTTTTTATTTTTGTAGAGGCAGGGCTGTGTTGCCTGGGCTGGTCTTGAACTCTTGGCCTGAAGCAATCCTCCTGCCTGGGCCTCCCAAAGTGCTAGGGTTATAGGGCATGAGCCACCATGCCCAACCTGTACCCAGAGTGACTGTCTCTAGATTGGAATCCAATATATTGCCTGTAGCTAAAGTCCCAGGAGAGCAGGAAGGGAGAAAGGATATCTGATGGTTACAATGTGGCTCCCCTGTCATGATGCTGGTTATGGTTGTGCCCCTCCCCACCCCCCAGCTACCCCCTTACCCCTATGTATACCAAACCTTTTGGCTCAAGCAGGGGACTCTCTTTTTTTTCTCTTACATGTACCAAACATGTTGTGAGGTTGATACTACCGACCATCTCCATAGCTAAGAGCTCATTCTTCTCCCTGTTTGCTAAAATGGGGGCATAGGAGCCTTCTCACAGGGGCAATTTCCAGGTTTTCTATAACTTGCCCAAGTGTTCCTCCAGGTTCTGATTTTTCCTAAAGATAAAAAGAAATTTGCTCTCCATCTAAGCACTGCCACAAGGAACTCTCAGCGAGTGTGGTTGGTATTCCCAAGGGCCTAAGTTTTCATCACCAAGTCCTTGTTCACTTTCTTTTTTATAATATTTTGTCCAGGACATATTTCAAGTCAAGCTGGCTCTCTCTAGCTACCAAACTCATAACTACAGGGGAAGGGGTACAGGAAAGAAAGAACTGTAAAAATTTATAAGATAAGTAGAACTTTCTCTGCTTTCTCTGAAACTATCTGGCTGCTCTCAATCCATATTGGTATGGTTGACTTATATTTAAAGGAGGATAAAATTGCCCTCTCTTCCCAGTTTTTGGAGGGTCTGCCATCTTGACTTTGTATTTTGCCATAGCTATTAAATCTTAAATCTAGCCCAAATATTCTAATGGGACCTACATTTTAATTATCTCCCATACTATCTAGCCCCCATCTCTTACAGCTATCAAATGGAAGGCAAAACTGTCCAATTCTTCTGAACCCTCTCTGCTCAGCACCACTGAGCCATTCAGCAGGAAAATGGGACAGAAGGTCTAGAAGGGAGTATTCCATGTGACCTCAGTGGCTCAATCACACCAAATAATAACAACAGCCATTAAGTAGGTATCAAGTGTTCACATGCATTATAATCTTTTTGTTTTATTTTGTTTGAGATGGAGTTTCACTCTTGTTGCCCAGGCTGGAGAGCAATGGTGCAATCTCAGCTCACTGCAACCTCCACCTCCTGGGTTCAAATGATTCTCCTGCCTCAACCTCCCAAGTAGCTGGGATTACAGGCATGTGCCACCACGCCCGGCTAATTTTTGTATTTTTAGCAGAGATGAGGTTTCATCATCTTGGCTAGGCTGGTCTCATACTCCTCACCTCAGGTGATCTGCCTGCCTCAGCCTCCCAAAGTGCTGGGATTATAGGCATGAACCACCGTGCCTGGTCCCATGCATGATAATCTTTAATTGAAACAGCAGCCCTATTAAGTTGGTACTTATCTTAATCTTTTTGAATGAGGAACTGAACTGAGTGTTCTAATATTATTGACGAGGAACTGAAGCTTAGAAAGAGAACTTATATCTTTAACATTTCTACAGTAACACAGCTAACAGCTAGTCAGTGGTGGAACTTGAATTCAAACTCAGGGCTGCTGAGTTCAAAACCCAGATTATAAATCACCATGATGTAGTCTATAAGCTCCTAGACTTACCAATTCCCTCAGCCTCCTCTATCTTGCCACTGCCAACTGAAACACAGATTATGGACTAGAAATACTGACTTTTTTTTAAGGAAAGAAAACCCCAAGAAGCCAACACACACACACACACACACACACACACATAATCACACACACACATAATCTCACACACACACAATCACACACACACACACACAAAATCTCACACACACATACACGGGTCCTTCTGACTAATGCCAAACACAGAGCTCTGGGATGCCTTATTGTTGAAACAATGCCATAAAATAGGAGAAAAGTGATAAAACTAAGAAGCCACTCTAAAAATGACTATTCAGTAAGCCAAATAGGGAATACTGTTTTATTTTAGTTTTATAGTATATACATATATACACAAAAGTTTTATAATATATACATATATACACACAAGCCATCCAAAATATGTCCTTCTCACCGCTTCAGTGTTAAAATGTGTAAGATGAACAAAATTAGTCCCAGGAAGGGGACATCACTGTAGAAATCACTGTGAAAGAATGTGAGAGAGGTGGGGAATTGAGAGTTGTACTTGACCTCCAAAAGCAGGAAAGACAGGGTCTGGAGAGGAAAAGGGAAACAATTGAGATGGAACATTGCCCATCCATGGAAATCCAGAGGCAGAAATGGCCAGGACACATTTGGGGCACCCTCAAGAGATCAAGCAGATAAAATACACAGACAAGTAGTGGAAGCTGGGGTTGAAGAAGTGGGTGGGGAAGTGTTATGAAGGGCTTTGAATGCCAGGACAAGGATGGCAGAGCCCATGTAAATTCTGAAATAAGAGAGTGTTATGAGAAGAATGGACAGTGGGAGAGACCAGTTAATGAGGAGACACCTGCAGAAATGGAGAGGCAGGTGATGAACACCTGGATGAGCATAGGGGCTTCCAAGAGACAAAGGAAAGACTTAATAGCTTTGCAGGACTAAGTGATAGATCAGACATAAGGGGTAGAGAAAAGAGTCTCTCTCAAATGACTACAGTTTCTCCAAAAATATTTTGAGATTGGGATGGACAGGTAGTTCATCTGGGCTGAGCTATAGTGGAGGGAGCCGGAAGGGAGGAAGAGGAAGAGGCCTGGTACAGGGTAAGGGAAAGAGAATCTGCAAGACTGGGCCCCGATGCTACCTAGTTTTGTGATCAGATCCCATTACTTGCCCTAGTCTCTGCTTTCTCATTTCTAAAATTAGGAATTTCATCCAGGAAACATGTATTGGGCCCCCAATATGTGCCACCTACTGTATGCAATTTTTTTTGTCTTATATTTCCTCTGAGGGCTGGTGGTTGCCCTAGCCAGTGTAGTATGAGTCTCTTTGGGACCAGTCTTCTGATCAAGGAACCCAAGCACGTGTTTCCTTTAGAAAAGCCTAGCTTTTGCTTCCCTCTAGTGGCTACTTAGTGCCACTAGACCTCTGCCTTTACTCTTTTTGTCCCTGGAGAGCCAGTCTGAATTGAAAATTAAGAAGTTAAGACCAGGCGCAGTGGCTCACGCCTGTAATCCCAGCACTTTGGGAGGCCGAGGTGGGCAGATCATGAGGTCAGGAGATCGAGACCACCCTGGCTAACACGGTGAAACCCCGTCTGTACTAAAAATACAAAAAATTAGCCGGGCGTGGTGGTGGGCGCCTGTAGTCCCAGCTACTCGGGAGGCTGCGGCAGGAGAATGGCATGAACCCGGGAGATGGAGCTTGCAGTGAGCCGAGATCGCACCACTGCATTCCAGCCTGGGTGACAGAGCAAGACTCCGTCTCAAAATAAATAAATAAATAAATAAAAAGTTAAGATGGAGCTGGATCATAAACCATGCACATGTTCAAGGGAACAGTACAAAGTGTTCCCTAGAGGGCATGTCATGATGGTTGGTATCCAGAGAGGATGGTGAGAGGAGGAGACAAAGGAGGCATGATGTCATGAACCAGAGGTGAGGCATGGGGAAGCAGTCAGTCCCAAAGCAAAACCAACCAACAATAGCAGATGGGAGCAGAAAATCACATTAGGACTCACCCAGTAAGTGGGTTAACCTGAGCAAATGGAAAGTATGGGGTCATAGATAAAGGCCTGTCTTTACACTGAAGAAGGTAAGGTCAGGGATAAGGGGAAACCCTAACAGTAATTTGCTGAGGGCAAAAACTTGACATGAAGATGCTTTAAGATGCTGGGAACCCTTTCCGTTGCTGATACCAATTCTACTCATTGCTGGGCACATGTGCTGGATCTGGGGTGGTGCCAGCACAGCTGGAGATGGGCTCATGTTGGTGGTGCTCAGCAACTGACCTAGAAAGAGGCAGATGCTCGAGGGTCCTGCTGGCTCCTAGCTAAGCGGGCGTGAAGATGTTATTGACTGTTGCAGCCAAGGGAGGGCTCACAAACTAACAAGATAAACAGCTCTGAGAAGACACAACCACAGCAGTAGCAAGTGGAGCAATGGACTGAGGCAGCACTGGTAAGAGCCAATCACTTTCTGAGGGACCCCATTCCCCAACCCTGGGCCAGCATCCCTCATTTCTCCTGTTGTCACATTCAGCATGCATACACGTGATGTGTGTCTCCTTAGAGACTGTAAGCATGGTGCAGGTAGGGACATCACAGCTGTCTCCCTGACTGCTGTATGCCCCATGCCCAGCACAGCAGCTGGCTGGTGAAGAAGAATAAGTGCATGGATGAGGAGGCTGGACTCATTAGGCTTGGAGTCCTGCCTTTGCAGTTAGCTATTAGGATGCAATCTTTAGCTAGTCATTTTACCTCTCTGAGCCTCAATTTCCTCATCTATAAAATTGGATGATAATGCCAACCTTATGAGATCTATGAGGGTCAGATGATGTCTATGAAATAGTTTATAAACTATAAAGGGCCATACAGATGTTAATTATTATCTTAGTCTGCCTGAGGATGAAAAATTAACAAGATGTCTGCTGACATTTCTTCTGGCCTGAGAGACAGTGACCAGGAGTATTTGCTTTCTGAATCAAAGCATTTAGAATGCGCTGTTTCTTCTGAACACGAATCTGTAAGTCACCCCGCTCCCAGCCAGACCCCTTACAGAGGCAGGTTGTTCCCCTCTCAGGTGCTCCGCATGTGCCCTCTTCCCATCTCCAGTCCTGGCAGACAGGCTGCCCGTCCCCAGATTACCTAACAATAATTAGACCAACCAGAGTTTCCTGGTCAACCAGAGGAGAGCTTGGCCTCTTTCCAGGAATTAGTTTGCCAGGTTTCTATGTGTGACTGGATACCTTGACCTCCACCCTACAACCACAGTGTAAATAAACATGTATTATCTACCCTGATTTGGCAACCAGTTCCAAGAATTCTCTTCCCAGTCTGATTCCAATCTGTTGTTTCTCTAGGATGCCCAGTATAGGAAGAGCAGAAAGTCACATCCGTGGCCCTACAAAGGGAAATTATAGCCTAAATTTAGGGTACTAAATCTTTGAACCGTGGGTTTGGGAATAGTTTACTATTTTTTTCTTTCTAGTCTGCCAGATTATCTCAAGATATGTCATTAAGGGTGCTTTGGAAATTGATTTATTTTTGTTTGTTTGTTTTTTGAGATGGAGTTTCACTCTTGTCGCCCAGGCTGGAGTGCAGTGGTGCAATCTCTGCTCACTGCAACCTCCGCCTCCCAGGTTCAAGTGATTCTCCCACCTCAGCCTCCCAAGTAGCTGGGATTGCAGGCGCCCGCCACCATGCCCGGCTAATTTTTGTATTTTTGGTAGAGACAGGGTTTCACCATGTTGACCAGGCTGGTCTCGAACTCCTGACCTCAGGTGATCTGCCTACCTCGGCCTCCTGATGTGCTAGGATTACAGGCGTGAGCCACCGCGCCCAGCCCTGGAAATGGATTTCTACTCCCTCGACACAAGATATCAGTGCAAGAAAACACATCTCAAGTGCATGCCAAGTTATGATTACTGGATAAACAATATATAACATCTATTAAGCATGTAATGCATATCAGGGTTTACCTGTGTTAATGTAATCCTTCCAATAACTCTATATGGCAGGAATTAATATGATTCCTACTTTACAGATAAGGAAAATGAGCCAAAGAGAGACTAATTAACTTGCTCCAGATGATACAGATAGTAGCGATTGAGACAGATTCAAACCTAAGCAGTCTAGCTCCAGACCCAGTAATCCACAGAAAGGGAAATGGTTACCCACATCTGAATAACTGAGGTTTGATGACATTTTGCACTTCTGTGAAAATCGTCTCTGGTCTTTGGCCTGGTTTCCTCTGAAGCTCAGTTTTCCAGTGTTGCACAGTCCATACAGTAGACAATTTGCAGGAATGCCTGGGGCTTTCAGAGAAGCCCGTAACTTCTTCTCTCTCTCTAACCATGAATTGCTCTTTTTGATCAGGTTTCACCCAGCCACCTCTCCTCCCTCTTCTATAGGTAGCCTTGGGATTTTCAGAATCATGTCTATGAGCTCTTTCCTCCTTCCAAAGCTATAGGGTGTGTTGCAGGAAATGCCTTCCTGTGCAAGCACAATCAAAACAGCAGTATAGACAGCCTCAGTTAAGCACAAAGGAGCCAGGAGATGCCTCCCTGTAGACAGGACAGTTGGACAGTTACCTCCAGCCTGAGGGTCAGTGTTGCAGAGGCAAAGTTGCCAGTGGGTTAATCCTCCCAGCCGCATCTCTATTGACAACTTGTGTGGGTTCCCCAGGGGCAATGAGATGAAGATAGAAGGGAGAATAAATACCAGTTGCTACTACTGCCTCTTCTTTCCCCGAGGAGAGTATGGCTCTGCCCTTCTCACCCAAACTTGAGTCAGTGTCTAGTTAGATGTTCTCTGAAGCCTAGGCAGGGAGTACAGAGATAAAGAACAGGCACAGGCCAGGCACCGTGGCTTACGCCTGTAACTCTAGCACTTTGGGAGGCCAGGGTGGGAGGATCACTTCAGCCCAGGAGTTCGAGACCAGCCTGGGTAACATGGCGAAACCCCATCTCCACTAAAAATACTAAAATTAGCCAGGTTTGGTGGCATGCGCCTGTAATTCCAGCTACTTGGGAGGCAGAGGCAGGAGAATCACTTGACCTGGGAGGTGGAGGTTTGAGAAGCCCCTGTGAATTAAGTTGGGGTTTTTAGTAGGCTACATGCTCAAAGGAAGCCAGCAGCACAACTTGACCAAAAGGCCCTCAGATTACATTCTCCTTTTTCAGGGTTGTTGTTCCATTTTCTGGAAAATTTCCTTGACATTATCTTGCAACTCATCTATGAAATGTCTCATTTCAGCCATAACATTTTTAACTTCTGAGAGCTCTTTCTCACTCTACAACTTTTTCCCTTTATGTAACAGCTTGTTCTTTTTTCATGGATACAATATCCTCTCTTATCTTTCTGAGGATTTTATAGTGTTACTGATGTTTTATTGTCCTGCTTGCATTTTGTTTCCTCTGAGTTCCTGGTCCTTTTTCTGTTTATTTATTTTGGTCTCTGTTAGAGAGGTTTTTCTGAAAAGTCTGGTAATCTATAGCTGAATATTCACATTTATGACTGAGGCACAAAGGCTGACTCAATATTCTGTGTAAAGGAAGGAACTTGTTGACTTAAAGTTCTCACTGTGAAGTGATCTGGCAGGACACTGGAGGTTTTGGGAGCAGAGAGGGATCTCTAAGTGTCAGTATTTGAGTATCTGTACATCTTTTGGTTTCTCCCATGAATGATTCTAAAATCTCCCTAACATGTTTATATGTGGCTGCTAGCATTCTGGGATCCAAGAGGGACAAGGATACTAGCCATCTCTCCATTCTACATTTAAGCCTTCACTGAATTTCATTTTTCAGGAAAGTGCGCATAGGATAGAAGAGGGATCTAGGAGTCCCATCTTCCTGTTTTAGCCCCACCTGTAGGTCCATCCTCAGTGCCGTCTGGTGCTTCCACTCCCTGGGGCTGTCTGAGGGTTGAGCAGAGATAACTGGCAGGAGCTTGAATCTCATCTTCTCATTCTACCAAGTCAGTATCATTCTTGCATCTGCTTTCTATCATTAAAGAAAAAAAAAAGTTCTCAGCCCGGCGCAGTGGCTCACGCCTGTAATCCCAGCACTTTGCGAGTCCGAGGTGGGCGGATCACGAGGTCAGGAGAATGGCGTGCACCCGGAAGGCAGAGCTTGCAGTGAGCGGAGATCGCACCACTGCACTCCAGCCTGGGTGACAGAGCGAGACTCTGTCCCAAAATAAATAAATAAATAAATAAATAAATAAATAAATAAATAAATAAATAAAGTTATCTTGTTTACTACCTCCCATTCTCTTTGTTCTTGTGGATTTGTGTCTCCCCCCACTAACACCTTATGTTGTTTTTGTCAGGTTTAGGAATTCATGGAGATATAGTCACATGATTAAAGGGCAAGATAAATTTGGTTGAAAGGGGCTGAGAAAAAAAAATTAACAGTTATCTGTAAGATACTAATAGGAATAGGTGGGCAGCCAATGGGAGACACCTCTCAGACATTGTAACTAGGCATCTCAGTTATATATCAGGCAATAATTCATGGAATTTATTCACTCGCGCATTCAACAGATATTTATCACCTGCTGTGTGCCAGGCATTGCTCTAAACTCGGGAGATAGGACCATGAGCAAGACGGAATGCTCTGCTCTTCTGTATCTTACATAGGATAAGAGTAACACATAATTTATGTAAACAAGGCAACACATTAATGATAAGTGCTCAAGAAAATTCAGTAGCACTGTGTGTTAGAGATTCAATATAGAAACTACTCTATTTATCAAATATTAAAACTGGAAGCAGCCCTGGAGTCCAATTTCCTCATCTTAAAAATGAGGAAATTTAGGTATGAAGAAGGGAAGGGGTTTGCTGAGTGTCATACATGGGTAAAACCTGCACCAGCACCAAGGCCTCCTGATTCCCACTCCTGCATTCTTCCCACTATTAATTACTATGCAATTCACAAGACCTGCAAGACCAGGGGACCATGGTGCTCATTTACACACCATGGGAAACAACTAAACCAAACAGCTCCTTCAGTTGCAGTTAGTAGAAGCCACAGTTCCAGCAAGCAAAGATAAAGTAAATTGTAAGCTTTAGCCTCTTAATTGGACCTGGCAGCTCCATGGGCTTCCAACATACAAACTGATGAAATCCCAGAGCTCCACGACAATGTTCCTAAATGCCCAGACATTGCTTTACACATTTGCTAAAAAAAAAATTATAATCAATTCAAGATAAAAGCACAGCACTAAGCTCTTTTAATGGAACCTAGTTTCTGGAGAAGCCTTCAGAGTTTTATAGTAGGGCGAGGACAGAAGTTTAGTAGAGGAAGGATTTGAAGCAGCTATACTAAAGCATCATCAGCAATTTGGGGCTTTCCTGAAGCTTCTATAGTGGCCCTAGAGCAAAATTGGAAACTGTCTATCCGCTCCCCCATTTCTCCCCTCAAAGTGTTACACCTCCTTGAAATATTTGCATTTTTCCCCATTACCTTTGTTGATTTGTTTTAGAGATTGTTATTGTTGATGTTATCATTACTTTCATTATAAAGCAGCACTTATGTGAGAAACACTGGGCAATACTGGAGATCAGAAAGCCAGAGGGAAAATTACCCAGAGTGCACCACCCAACAATACCAGTGTTAACATTTCAACGAATTTTCCTTCTGTTTCCTATGAATAGGGTTGCTAAGTTGTTGATGATGTTCACACAGTTATATATACAACTGTACGTCTTGTCCTCTTAAAAAATTTTTTACTTTATATAAGTATTTAAGCTATTACAAAGCTTTATAAATAATCTAATGGCTGCATAATTAATTACTCACTTAGTAGATATATCATAATTATTTAACCATTCCCTTCCTGTTAGGTTTTTTAAGTAATTTCAACTTCCATGTTAGATTCAAGGGTTACACATGCAGTTTTGTCACCTAGGTATATTGTGTGATGCTGAGGTTTTGGGTACAAATGATCCCGTCACCTAGATAGTGAGCATAGTACCCAATAGGTAGCTTTTTAACCCTCATCCACTTCCCACTGGGTAGATTTTTATATTTTAGTATTGGGGCAGGGGGGCGGTGATGTTATTGTTGTAAAATTTTCTTCATTTGAAAAAATGCTATTATGAGCATTTTCATGCTTAAAGTACAGCTGCATGTCACTTGTGTGGTGCATCTCATCTTTTTGCATTTGGAAGGGAATCATAGTCTGGTTTGAGGTGTTTCATGTTAAGGGACATTACCTAATTAAATGAAATCACTTTCTGATGGAGGAATTCCAGGCATTAGCAGCAGGTGCAGGGAGTGTTGAGGGGAGGAGAGAAAGACAGTTTTTGCACAGGAGTTGGCAGGACTTCACGGTGCCCTTGAAACTGTGCCAAGTAGATATGCTCCAGCTTTACATTTTTTGCCAGCCAGCTCTGGCCTCCTGTGAGGCTGTTCATATGTAGATGTTAATTCATGTGAACTTGGTGCCTAAGGCTGGCTAAGAGTTGTGGAGGAATCAGATGATCAGATGGAAGAAGTTGCAGGGCAGGCAGCCAGGGGAGGAAGAGGAGGTCGGACTTATCTGATGGGCGCTCTTGGGCACAGCTCCCCCTCTGTCAAGAGTATCAGATCCAAGTGCTCTGCAAGGCAGTGTCAGAAGTCAGTATTCACAGTTAGAAGGCTCAGTTGGCAAGTATTGAGGGCAGGTATCAGATTCTGGGGTAAGGGGGCTTCTTCACATGGAAGCTTCCTGGAAAGCAATGCGGAATGAAGAGGCAAGAGTGAATCCTCATTTTGCATAAGGGATTCCTCGGTCCCACCATGTCTTTGTTTTTATCATAACAGGAAAAGTATGTGCTGATTTGAGGGAGGTCTGAGTCACCTTCCCTAGTGAGCCTCAGGGTCAGTTCTTCTAGTTAGGGCAAAACTCCATGAAGATTACTTTAAAAAAAAGGATTCACTTACATAATAATGTATATGCATATATACAGTTGATACAGTCTGTTACCAAACAACATGCCATCAAAATTGATGTTTAAAATTTCTTCTGTACTCCTTTCCTCCCAAATTTAAATAATAATTCACTAATACCGCCAGAATTTTTTTTTTTCTTTGAGAGGGAGTCTCACTGTGACTCCCAGGCTGGAGTGCAATGGCATGATCTCGGCTCACTGCAACCTCTGCTTCCCAGGTTTGTGCAATTCTCCTGCCTCAGCCTCCTGAGTAGCTGGGAATACAGGTGTGCACCACCACACCTGGCTAATTTTTTGTATTTTTATTAGAAACAGGGTTTCAACATGTTGGCCAGGCTGGTCTGGAACTCCTGACCTCAAGTGATCCACCGCCCTCGGCCTCCCGAAATGCTGGGATTACAGTCACGAGCCACTGCGCCCAGCCCAGAACTTATTTTTTAGACAATCATTTAGCTCTCTCTGCTTAAGGCACTATCCTAGGTGCTTTAATACTATCTCATTTAATCTTCACAACAAGCTGTGAAGTAGATACTGTCATTATCCCCATTTGACAGATGAAGAAATTGAGACAAAGAGGTGAAGTAACTTGCTCCTGGTCACACAGTTGGTGAGGAGCTGCAGAGCCCATGCCCTAAACGAGGCTATGCTGCCTTGGAGAATGGAGCAGAGACACAGAGGTGCACAAATGGAAGCTCTGAAATGACAACAGGAGAATTCTTCAGGGGTCCTGTCCTCACTCTCTGGATGCCATTGGGAAACCATCACAGAATAACTGTGTCTTTTCCATAACATGAGGAAGCTCAAAGGGACAATCTAGCTCACACAGTTTATACAAGAAGGAGGTTCAGTTAATCCCCAAATATTAATCATGTAAAAATAGACCTAAATGAAAATGATCATTTCTGGTGAACGTGAGAACTTTGAAAATGCAGATGGAGTTACAAAGAGTGGTTACGAAATGTCCCTTATGTATGTAGCGGTCCATGCTGGAAAGAAGCCAGCACAGCTATCACTGTGGAGCTGGAGGAAAGTGAGGACAGGAGGAGCTCCTTCTGCCCCTCTGGGAAGCATTGCGGAGGGTGAAGGAGGCCGTGTCCACCCAGGGATTGGTCAGCAGGGGAACAGGCCCCACTGGGAATGGCCAGGACCCAGAAAGGAGAGAGACTGGGAAAGTAAGGACAAGGAGTTGGATGGTGACTCAGCAGCAGGCACTTGGAGGGAAGCCAGGCAGACAATTAGCATCAAGAAGGCTTAGCAGGCCTTAGGCAGGGTTCTAGGGAATTAGGCAGAGAAAATATCTGAGAGCTCCTGGGAAGGGGGCCAAGACTTAGGCATGAAAGGCCAGACAGGGACTCGCTGCTGGAGTGGGAGCATACAGTGAGGGGAGTAAGATGAGAGAAGATTCCAGAAGCAGGGGTACAAGATCAGAGAAGAATCAAAAACATAACCTGAATGCATGCCGAGATTCTGTGCTGCCTACTCAGCTCCCAGCATCTCCCTGAGTAGGAATAACTTTGGTCTTAGAATCTTACCCTACAGCATCCCTGGAGGAGAGGATGGGAGGGACTGTTGCAGGAGCAGCTCTGCCTGACCCCTCAAACCATTTCCCCAGCACCCTCCCTTGTTGGCCATTCTTTGGAATTCGCTTCTTGCCAGGGTAGGGACCTGGTGTAGTATATCTTTTTGATCAAGCCATTGAGGTGAAGTGAACCAGGATATTCATCATCTATTTGAACCATAATGGCTTTTGGGCTGTATCTAAAGCTTGAGCCCGGTTGTCTACAACGTGTGAGCATGGAAGAAATTGCCCATTGATCTTGTTTCCACTTCTTCCTTTGGCTGGACTAGGCAGCCTACAGGAGGCAAACACTGCCATCTAGTGGCGTATCTAGGCTTCTCGCCAGGAACTGTGTCTTGAATTGTAGAGAGACAGAAGCCTGATTTTTATCCTCTCCCGTCCAGCCCATGGGTCTGATTGTAACCCACCCTAGAGGGAAGTGGGTCTTGTATCTGGGTGCCATGCTGGGCTGTTTGCAACTAGAGCTTCAGGCCCCTTCTGCTCTAACAGTCTGCAAAAGGACTACACTCATCCCTGGATTCAACCATGTTGCCCTGAAAGGGCTGCAAGTTGCATCCCCAGCTATGTGTGAGCTTGGCCTCAAGAAGCAACCCTGAGCCCCTGGCGTGGTCGCAGAGGAGCAGCTCTACTGAGGTGCAGAAGCTCAGTGATAGAGAGTCTCTCAGTTAGAAAGAATTTCAGTCATCTAGGCCGGCATTCTACAGAGTCCATTAGCGAGGTGGAATCAAATTAGTGGGATGTCAACAGCAATAGAGAAAAACATAAAATAGAATGTCAGAGTGGAGCTTGTGTTTCAGTGATAAATCTATTCACATGTAGTGTTCCCTGGTCAAAATATGAAGTGTATTTCTTACAGAGCACTTTGGAATCTGAATCCCAGCACTTTGGGAGACTGAAGCGGGAGGATCAGTTGAGCCCAGGAGTTCAAGAAAAACATAGTGAGACCATGTCGCTACAAAAATAAAAATAAAAATTAGCTGAGTGTGGTGGTACACACCTGTACCACCTACTGGGTACACACCGGTCCCAGCTACTCAGCAGGCTGAGGTGGGAGGATCACTTGAGCCAGAGAGGTAGAAACTGCAGTGAGCCAAGATTGCACCACTGCATTCCAGCCTGGGTTTCAGAATGAGACCCTGTCTGGGGGCAGTGGAAGGCATTCCCAGGCCCTAACCCAGGCCTACTGAATCATGATGTGTGATTGAGGGGTGGAGCAAGAGAAGGAACTGCTAGGGAATCTCCATTTTATTAGCTCTCCACATGATTTTTATGTATACTCAATGCCTAACCACTGATATTGACATTTCTGAGCTTGAATTTCCTGATGTATGAGATGGAGATGATAGTACCACCTGGTTATTGTGAGGACCAAGTAGATAATTAATGCAAAGGTATTTTGCTAACTGTAAAAGTACTCTAGAGATTTGAGGTGTTTCCATCCCACAAAATCCTTCTCTCTGTGATGTTTTTAAGGAGGATAGCACCAGGAGAGTGGGGGAGTGAAGACTGCATTTAATGGGACCAGGAGAGTTAAATGGAAAAATATTTTCTTCTGTCTCCTTCCACCTTCTACCTTCTACCTTCTGTCCTGCAGATTTCCTGATCTGATCCCAATGGCAGTCCTATGGGGACGTGGTTAGCACAGACTCCCTGCCCTGTAACTGGTGGTGATGCATATTGCCAACATCAGTCTGATGCATTATTTTAACCGTTTCAAGCCCCCTCTGATATCGAAGTCCCTTTAGTGTAAATCTCTCACAGTCCTGAATGCTGAGCTTTTGGTCCTGGTGGGACTGTTAATTATCTACTCACTGTGGCGTTCACTGTGTATGCCACTGGGCAGAAGCTTCCCAGAATGTGTGTGAAATGGCTACACAACATATTTGGACAAGTGCACTAATATGGCCACTGGTGCAGAAAATTTGGGCCCTGAAGGCTTAAATCAGAGATGCACAGACTGAAGTCGAATTCCTGGAGGTGGTGCAAGGACTTTGCCTCCAAACTGCTTTTGGGGTGAACTTTAGAGGATAACAGGCTACCAAGCTGGGCCTCAGCCTCCTCATTCCTTCCGTTCCCTACCTGTCACTCTGCCTCTAAGTGCAGCTGCTCTTCCAAGAGGGAGACTGTACTTAGTTCTATGAGACAAACTAATAACCGAATGGATTCTCATGGAAATATGAAGCCAGAAGAAAGGGGGGAAGTGGGGCCAAATCCCCAAGGTGAAAAAGTGAGAAGTCTCAGCATTCAGCCAGTAGGGGTTGTTCCTGTCAACCCCTTTTATTGCTTCTGCCCCAGGATCAGTGAATTAGGAAGATGCCAGTGTGGAGACAAGCCAGCATGGAGCATGAGGGCTGGGCGTATGCTCCTAAGTAAGAAGTGGCCCGTCTTCCCTTCTGATTCTTCCTCCTGGTCCCCAGTGCCTGAGCCTTTGAGGCTATTCCCCTCCCAGACAGACATTGCTTTACTTCTGCCTTTGAATTGAAGCCCCATTCTTTTTGTAGTCCTCGTAGCCTCGATTTTAGGCTGATGGCTCCAGTAAGGGGTGGGGATGGGAGGTGTTGCAGGGGTTAGAAGGAAGGAAGGCTGTCTCTTCCATTATTCCCTATCATCTAGTGAGAATCTAATGGGAGGGGTGAGTTAGAATAGATGCCCATACAATAGGAGTCTGAGGGTGGTAGTCAGGGCAGGGACAGGGCACAGGGTAGAACCCTTGGAAGGAGTAAAGGGGCATATAGGGAAGGGGTTTAACGGCACAATTAGCTGAAGCTTGGCAAAGGAATAATGAGCTCTAACGAAGTAAGAGGAATTAGAATCAAAGCCCTGGTTCTGGGCAGGCTTCAGACTGTGGCTACAGCTAGAAAGCCTGAGTGATTGAATAGCACTGTGCTAATTACATTTTTTTCTTGTTTTCTTTCCTGTTCTCAACTCTCCTTTTCATCTTCTGCCATCTCTCTGCCCTAAACACCATTTTTCCTCTTTATTCCCCTTCTCTTCCTCCTTACCTCTGCTCTCACACATCCTTCGTCCCCTCTCACCAACCCTCTCCCATATTTCTCCCCCCTTCCTCCATGCCCTCCTGTTCTACTCCCTCCACCACCACCCTCCAAAGCTCTCTGGTGGATGTGAGCTGACAGTGGTCCTCCAGGACTTCAGTGCGGGCCACAGCAGTGAGCTGACCATCCAGGTGGGGCAGACGGTAGAGCTGCTGGAGCGGCCCAGCGAGCGGCCTGGTTGGTGTCTGGTCCGTACCACCGAACGGAGCCCGCCCTTGGAGGGTCTGGTCCCCAGCAGCGCCCTGTGCATCTCACACTCCCGAAGCAGCGTGGAGATGGACTGCTTCTTCCCCTTGGTGAAAGGTAGGAGAACAGAGCGGGTGGGAGGCACAGACCAAGGAGGCCATGAGCGCTGGCCTGACTCTAGCTGAAGACCACCATGGAAGTGACCTGTCTCACAGACCCATTTTTACCCTGTGGGGTTTCTTTGGGACCTGACTGTGAAGAGAATGGGTTGGGAACTTGGAGAGGAAGAGCTCCCGAGTAACTGTGTGTGACTTTGGGAAAGTCATTTAGCCTTCCTGAGTCAGTTTCATCTTGGAAATGAAGGTTGAATTAAGTAACCTCCAAGATCTCTTCCAGTTTTCCCATCATATCACACTACATTCGGGAAAGTCCTCTTCTACCTTTGGCCAAATATGGTTTAGACTCATCCTTTCTCCACTGACCCACTCCCGCTCCACAGCAACTTCTGGCTCTCTGACCCCCGACCAAGTACTCACATGCTGACCTGGAGACACCAGGCACACCCAGGGAGGAGCCACAGCTGAGTCAGATCTGATCCTTCCCTCAGCCCAGCCAGGCTTTGAGGTCCATGACTCCTTTATGTGCCTTCAACAGATAAAGTATTCTAGCCTTGGCTTTTATTGTATGTAAGCTCTGTGTTCCCTTCACATGCCTGTTTACTCACTTTTTCTCATGCCAGGGAGACTAAACTCCTCATGACAGTGTTTCTTTAGGGGTGGTCTCTGGATTAGTAATATCAGCATGCCCTGGGAACCTGTTAGAAATGCAGGTGCCAGCCTGGGCAACTTAGTGAGACCCTGTCTCTACAAAAATTTAAAAATGCAAGGCGGCACATACCTGTAGTCCCAGCTACTTGGGAGGCTGAGGCAGGAGAATCACTTGAACCCGAGAGGCTGAGGTTGCCATGAGGCTGCAGCAAGCCAAGATTGTGCCACTGCACTCCAGCCTGGGCAACAGAGCGAGACTCTGTCTCAAAAAAAAAAAAAAAAAAATTAAAAAAATTAGCTGGGCAAAATACAAAAATTAGCCGGGCATGGTGGCGCACGCCTGTAGTCCCAGCTACTCGGGAGGCTGAGGCAGGAGAATGGCGTGAACCCGGGAGGCGGAGCTTGCAGTGAGTCGAGATCGCGCCACCGCACTCCAGCCTGGGCGACAGAGCGAAACTCCGTCTCAAAAAAAAAAAAAAAAAAAAAAAAAAATTAGCTGGGCAAGGTGGTGTTCACTTGTAGTTCCAACTACTCAGGGCATGGTGAGGCAGGAGGATCACTTGAGCCCAGGAGTTTGAGGCTGCAGTGAGCTATGATTGCATCGCTGCGCTCCAACCTGGCTGACAGAGAAAGACCGCACCTCTAAAAATAAAAAATCAAAGTTAAAAGCCAGGTACAGTGGCTCACACCTGTAATCCCAACACTTTGGGAGGCTGGCTTGAGGCTAGGAGTTTGAGACCAGACTGGGCAACATAGTGAGACCCCCATCTCTACAAAACTAAAAAATTTTAGCCAGGCATGGTGGCACACACCCATAGTTCCAGCTACTCAGTGGGGGGCTGGGGCAGGAGGATCATTTGAGCCTGGGAAGACAAGATTACAGTAAACCATGCTTGCACCACTGCACTCCAGACTGGGTGACAGAGCAAGGTCCTGCCTCAAAAAGTGTTTTTAAATTTAATTTTAAAAAAGAAAGAAACGCAAATGATCAGAACCCCCACTCCTCCAGAGCCGGTGGGTCCCAACAGTCTGTATTTTAACAAGCCTTCCAGGTGGCTCTGATGCACATTTGAGTTTGAGATCCACTGACTTGTGAAGTCCAAGTGGCAGAGGCCTTGCAGCCAAGCATTTTACACTGAGGAAGCCAAAGCCAGGCCTTAGTTCTGGGCTTATTTTTGTAACTGGCCAGATAATCAGCAGCAGGCATGCCTTCTATGCAGACCTGTGCTAGATATTTCTAGGAGAGGAAGATGGGGACGAGGGTCAGCATGGAGACCTGCTGCAGGCTTCCTGATGGTTAACTGTGAACTCAGAACATATTTAAAACACTCCGGTGTCTGGAGTGCCATCTGGTCTACCTCCAAAGCCTGACTTCCTTTCCTCCACTAGATGGCAGCAGCAGGCTGAATTGTTTGTGCTGCATCCAGCCTTCCAGGGTTTTTTCCACCAGGAGAAAAATGTCAGCTAAGACCGACGTCCTAATTCTCCTCGTGCCCTCCACTCCCAATTTAATCATTGCCTGCTTTCCCCCCTGTCCTCTGAGGACTAAGGAGGGACTGTGTCAGGAAGTTGTGTGGGAATTTGAAATTGCAGGCACAAGAGGAAAATCAAGGAAACTCAGGAATCTGGTTCCGCTTGAAGTCTAGCCAAGAGGAGAAGAGGGTACACAGAAGGTAGATTGTGAGGGTAAAATGAGGTAATGGAGACAAAACACAGCAGTGCCTGGCATTCAATGCACTTTAGTTGTCATGATAAGTTTTTGCTATTATATCATTTGCCATAGATTATCCAGCAAAATAACTACACACTCCCACAAGTCCAGTTGAGAGACCCATCTGCAGAGACAAAATCAAGCACAGCAATTCATTTGCCGCAAAAGGCTAACGTTCCTTGGATCCCCAGGTGTGGGTCGTTTTCATCAGGAGGGACTCAGCTTCAAGGGAAGATGAGACTTCCTGACCTAGACCTGGCCTCCTAGCCTGAGGCTGGGTAAAATGTGCACTCCCTCCCTGCTGGGGCTGCCACATGTGCAACTTCGCAGGAGCAAACCCAAGGTGGAAAGCCAGAGAGCAGTGTCAGAGTCAATCTGTGATCCCGAAGTGGGAGGTGGAAGCATTCAGGGTAAGAATTGCACAGGACTGGGGGTTGTCTCGACTATAGGACAGATTAGTGGAGATTTAACTAAAAATAGGAGATGAAGACCAGGAATGGAAAATAGAGGCAAGAGACAAAGCTGGGAGGGAGGCTGTCATAGAACTTTCCAGCTAATTCTGCCAACCAGCATAGCTTCTTAAAGGTACCAGCAGTGCCTATCACCCATTTCTTTGGCTTTTTATTTCCAGGTTGGTTCCTGTTTCCCCAAGCTTAGGCCAATTATGCTGAGCTTTCAAATGGCATCCTGTGAGGTCTTACTATCTTCTCACCCATGTGAGCTCTGAATACAGAGGTCCCCGACTCCCAACAGTCAAGGACCTAAGTCGGCCAGGCGCAGTGGCTCACTCCTGTAATCCCAGCACTTTGGGAGGCTGAAGCAGGTGGATTGCTCAGGCTCAGGCGTTCGAGACCAGCCTGGGCAACATGGCGAAACCCTGTCTCTACAAAAAAAATTTAAAAATTAGCCAGGTGGGGTGGTGTGCACCTATATAGTCCCAGCTACTCAGGAGGCTGAGGTGGGAGGATCACCTGACCCTGGGAGGCTGAGGCTGCAGTGAGCCATGATCATACCACTGTGCTCCAGCCTGGGTTGCAGAGTGAAACCCTGTCTCAAAAAAAAAAAAAAAGGACCTAAGTCTGCATTCTCCATGGAGCACTCCTTATGCCCTTAACTAGACCCCATTTGAAAGTGTGTGCAGTTATGCACATAGCCCAGCCTCAAAACCCTTTCCCTGTCTCTCTGGGGTCTGCCCAGAGTGTTGGCCTTAGCTAAGACCCAATAAGCTATTCCTTCTCTTATTCCAGCTGGCTGCCTGCTTGGCAAACCGCCTTTTCTTCTCTCAGCAGTAATTTGTCTCCAGTGGGTGCTTTACCTTATAAGTTATGCACAACTAGATTGAGAATAAAATGTTCCTCTGGGGGTTGTGGAATAGGACAGAGTGGTCTCATCTGGTGTCAGGAGGTTGGAATCAATTCCTTTTTCAATTCCCATAAGAGAACTGGTCCTCTTAGCATTTGCAGAGAGCACCAAGTCAGCACTCTTGCAGGCTGTGTGAAGCAGGGACTATGTGTGAGGGCTAAGCACCTTGTGAGTGCTCAGGCCATGACTATCACCCCAGAAATGGGGACAAAAGAACCACAGGATGGTTCTTGATGATCCACTAGCACAGGGTTCCCAACGCTGGCTGCACATGAGAATCATCTGGGAGCTTTTCCAAATGACAATGCCCAGACCCCACCTAGAACAAATGGAATCAGAATCTCTGGATGGGGCCTGAGGGTCAGTATTTTTAAGTGTTCCATAGGTGAATCTAAGGTGCAGTCAGGGTTGAGAACCACTGCACTAGCCCGGTCTCCTCTCTTCCAAGAGAACACTCAGGCTCAGGAAAGCAAGGTGACCTCCCTGAAGCCACAGGGAGTCTGTGGCCAAGCTGGAGCAGACCAGGGCTCCCAGCACCTGTTGAGCTTCTGGGTAGTGCTAGGGCTCCTCTCTGCCCTTCCCTCCTCTGCCTTCTGTGGGAGCAGTGGTTGGTTATTTCCTCCTGATAAGTCTTGGTGTCATTCATGATGGGGTTGGTGAAAAAGAGTGGGGCTGTGTGTCAGAATTGGGGTGGGGCTGCCTTTCCTGCTACTTTACTGCCACTCTGACATCTTAGGGCTTCTCACTGGGATTGGGCCCTCCAGCCCTAGTCCTGCCTTTCCACAGGCCCCTCTCACTTTCACAGCAGCAGGTGGTGGAGGGCAGCACCTCCCAAGAGGCAAGCCTTTGTAGCAGTGGTTTCCAACTCTGGATGCACCTTAGAAACCACCTGGAGGAGGTTTCTAAAAATACTGATGCCTCATATCCACCCCAGAACAATTAATCCAGCTGCCAAGGACCTGGACATCAGTATATTTTTAAGTTCTTTTGTGAAAAAAATAAAAAGAAAAAAATTAGCCGGGCATAGTGGCATGCACCTGTAGTCCCAGCTATTCAGGAGGCTGAGATGGGAGGATTGCTTGAGCCTGAGGGTTCAGGGCTATAGTGAGCTGTGTTCACGCCACTGCACTCCAGCCTGGGCAAAAGAGTGAGACTCTATCTCAGGGGGAAAAAAAAAGAAGAAGAACAAACTTAGTGATTCTGATGTTCCCTTAGGGTTGAGAACCACTGCTTTGTGGACTCAGCACCCCCAGGGTGTCAAGCTTAGGAGATACTTAAAGATGTATTAGAAAGGTTGAGGGTTAATGTCCAGATTATATAAAGAACTCCTGCAACTCAACAACAACAACCAAAAACTAAATTTAAAAATGGACAAAGGACTTAAACAGAAATTTCTCCAAAGAAGATATACAAGTGACCAATAAGTACATGAAAAGATATTCAACATCACTAATTATTGCTAGGAAAATGATAATCAAAACAACAATAACATGTCACTGCAAAGGATGGCTATTGTTTAAAATGTGCACACACAGAAAATAACAAGTGTTATGAGGATGTGGAGAAATTGGAACCCTTGTACACTGCTGGTGGGAATGCAAAATGGTACAGCTGCCATGGAAAACAGTATGGGATTCCTCAAAAAAGTAAAAATAAGATTATCATATCATCTAGCAATCCAACATCTGAGTATATATCCAAAGGAATTGAAAGCAAGGACACAAGCAGAAATTTGTACACCCATGCTCATAGCAGCATTATTCACAATAGTCAAAAGGTGAAAGCAACCCCAGTGTCCAGCAACAGGTGAATTGAATATATACATACAATGGGATACTCTTCAGCCTTAGAAAGTTAGGAAATTCTAACACATGCCACAACATGAATGAACCTTGAGGACATTAGGATAAGTGAAACAAGCCAGACACAAAAGGACAAATACTATATGATTCCATTTAAATGAAATACCTTGAGTAGTCAACTTTTTAGATGTAGAAAGAATGATGATTGCCAGGGGCTGGAGGGAATGGGGAATTAGTGCCTGTTGGGTACAGAGTTTCAGTTTTGCAAGATGAAAAATGTTCTGGAGATGGATGGTGATGATGGTTGCATGACAATGTGAATGGACTTAATGCCACTGAACTGTACACTTAAAAATGGTGAGAATGGCTTTTAAAAAGTATTGGTCCTGGGTACTTCTGCCCCAGGCTCCAATAACCAGTCTAGGTTCTTCTGTACCTGGCTGTACAGGACACCTGTGTTCCTTTTCCTGTGCACTTTCTTCCCTGGCTGGGGCTGAGGGTCTGGAGAAGCTGTAAGGAAATACCTCTCTGCTTATGAAACCAAGTCCAAGGCTTCCCCCGTGAGCCTCAGAAGCAGATGCTCTAGAGGAGAGGGACAGTGGCCCATGGCACCCCTGGCTTGTTCATGAGGAGTCCTCTCCCTGAAGGCCTCCTGATGATTTCTGCTGTTACCACCTACTTGGCCTCAGGAACAGCTTCCCCATGCTGCAGAAGGTGGTGGAGAACCGTGGATAAAACTTGGGCTCTGAAGGCAATTACCATCAACAGCCTGAGAATGCCGGGCAAGTTTGATAATGTCGACTTGTGTTAAGTGTGTCACCAACTCACAAAAATACCTAACATTTATTGAGCTTTACCATGGGTCAGGTTCTGGGTTGCTTTATGCTAATAGCAATAATATTTTCCTCATCTTACAGATAAAGACACTGAGTCTTAAAAAGATTAGGTAATATGCTCAAAGTCACATAGCTGACAAGCAGTGGGCCTAAATTTGAACCCACGCCTGTCCATTTCCCAAGGTCTCACTTTACCACTGTGTTCTACACCCTCCCAAGTCTGAAAGCCTTTGAGACAGGCACTTTAGTTTATTCTCCCATCTGACTTGGCTTGTTAGCCAGTCTAGCTGAATCTAAGAGCATTAACCCCATTATAGTTACACATACCCACCTTCCCACTCTCCCTCTCACCTCTGGCCCCAAATGCCCCACTCTCTAGGAGGAGTGGTAGTAATCAGAGACAGATTTTGTCCTGTGGGTGCTTTGCCAACTAATAAGATTCTGATGTCCTCAGCTGGAGCAGAATGACTCCAAGGAGCACTCTGGACAGCAGGCTGAGCTTAGTCCAACTCTGATAGCGGCCTGCCAACCCCTGGTGCTGGCCCAGCCTGTTCAACAGATTGTCTGCAGGATGGAAGTCCCCTGCACTTTCTGCTGCCAGGAGCCAAAATGCCAAAAAGTTCAGGCTCCTCTGCCTACCAGGAGAGTCCTCCAAAGGTCTTTCTCTACCTCTTACTTTTCAGTATAATTCTGCATTAGGAGCCCTACCCTCAGGTTTTTCATTTATGCCATAATGCCTAACATGGCTTCACTATGGGAGGCTAAAAAAATAATTAGAGGATGAATATTCCCTAAACATTTCCTTTCAGGTACGAAGTGACATGTTATAAATTGCAGCTTGCTGATTTACTTTATCCTACAGTCCTCAATTGCAGGATTGAAGTACGATCCTTCAATCCTCTTCATTTGTATAGGATTGTACTGGTAATTGACTAGATGTGAGGTAGTCCTTTGAGATTCAGAACTCACTTCCTCATAGAAGCAGAAGTATACATGGGAGTATGATCAATGAGGGTGAGAACAGGTTTCCACACTAGCCCACAACATTTTCCTTTATATTAGCATAGCTGAATTACCCTATGTTTGCAATGAAAAGGTGTGGTATGGTGTTTTTAAAAATTATAATACTGTTGGGTAAGAATAGCTGAAACCCAAAAATAATGCATTTGAATAAGAAATGTTGTAATTTATTTGAGTACTGATACTTTTTGAAGAAAAGTATGTTTAAAGATAGATGGAGAGAGTCTAAAAGGAGCTCCTTGACATTTTTCAGAATCATAAAAAGTTAGAGTTGAAACTTACTCTTTTTATAACTGGATAAAACCGGTTCTTGAATAGATTTAATTTGACTCCAGAACATTGGCTTCTTTTGGCTCCTGGGATCTTAGAATTGAAAAGCAGGTGAAAGGTGTTCTAGCTCACTCTCTTTCCAAATACAAGAAACCCCTTCCACAATGTCCTTGACAAGTGGTCAGCTAAGCATTACTTGAGCACTTCTAGGGACTGGGAGCTTATTACTTCTAGAGCCTGTTGGATTTTAGTGTAATTCTAAGGGCTAGAATATTCCTCATATATTGCACTGAAATCCAAACACTTTCTACCCACGTCTCCTTCTATTCTCCCCCGTCCGAGCCCCGAGTGTAAATCCACCAGTGCTAATTATTATTCTCCCTCTCCTTCTGATCTGTATCTAGAAGAAAGTAATACAATTTGCAGATAAAATGTTAAACACTTCTTTCCTAAGCTATATAAGCCTAGCAATTTCTCCATAAATCCTTTTATTAAACGCTTAGAGCAGAACAAAATGTTTTTAATTAAATTCAACAATCCTGACTTGTTTAAAGTGATTGTTTGTGTTTATGGATTAATAGTCCTTTCCAATGTCCTTGGATTTGAGAACTTCACAGTCCATCCTTACCCTTGAACTTTGGGCATCCCCTGGTTTCTCACTCACAGACACCTGATCTGTTGTCCTCTCTGGGCATAGAGCTTAGAGGCAAGTGCCTTCTACTCTGAGACTCTCTATAGGCTGGACTTTTTTCCTGGTTATTCCCTACAGTCATTCATATTGCTATTTGTTCTAAAGTAGCATTTTTATTACCTTTTATTCATGTCTTCCTGAATTACCTCTAGGATCCTTTCCACTTCTAAAAATGTCTGTTTTTTTCTCTCTGCATCAGGTAATTACCTTTGTTAATTTAAAGGGATTAACCAAAGTATCCTGTGTTTATTTTATTTTTTTTCTATTTTTTATTTTGGAGACAGGGCCTCACTCTGTTGCCCAGGCTGGAGTGCAGTGGCAAATAGCTGGGACCACAGGTGCTTGCCACCATCCCTAGCTAATTTTTGTATTTTTTTGTAGAGATGAGGTTTCGCCATGTTGCCCAGGCTGGTCTCGAACTCCTGAGCTCAAGCAATCTGCCTGCCTTGGCCTACCAAAGTGCTGGGATTACAGGTGTGAGCCACTGCACCCAGCCAAAGTATCCTATTTTTGATGCATATAAGCATAGCATAAATATCTTCATTTTGAGGTCCAATTTTTTAATTTGGGGTGCATGAAATCTCCATTTTTGTAGTAAAAAATGGTTGAGACTGGGTGCAGTGGCTCACATCTTTAACCCCAGCACTTTGGGAGGCCAAGGCAGATGGATCACTTGAGCTCAGGAGTTCTAGACCAGACTGGGCAACATGGTGAAACCCCATCTCTACCAAAAATACAAAAAATTAGCTGGGCATGGTGGCATGCACCTGTGGTCCCAGCTGCTGGGGGTGGAGGTGGGGGAAGGGCTGCAGTGGGAAGGGAGGTGGAGGTTGCAGTGAGCCTAGATTGTGCCACTGCACTCCAGTCTGGGTGACAAAGCAAGACCCCATCTCAAAAAAAAACAAAAAACAAAAAACAAAAAAAAAAACAGGTTGAATGTCAGCAATTTCAGTTAAAAATGGCCCAACCTAATGTATTGTAATCTACTGTTTTTTTTCCTTAAAAGGGTACTGGCAAATCTTTGAAAACGGAACAGAATTTAGTTCTCAGGGAATCAGATGGGGTGGGAAGAAGACAGGGTATGAAATGAGAAGCCACTTATTTTGAGTAGAATGTCACCTAATCTTCCTGGGTTTAGCTTCCACATTTATGCAAAAGGAAGCTGATAAAGATGCCTATGTAACAGAGTTGCTGGGAGGCTCAAGGGTAGAAATGTTAAGTAAAAGTGATTTTTAAACTGTGAGGTTGGTTTTATTATTATGTGCACAGGCTGATTGTTTAGGATAAAACAAAAGTTGTCTGTGGCTTTACCTCGGTATGCAGTAGACTATAAAAACATGGTCTGTCTGTAATCCCAACACTTTCAGAGGTTGAGGCAGGAGAACCTCTTGAGCCCAGGAGTTCCAGACCAGCCTGGGCAACAGAGCGAGACCCCGTCTCTAGGAAAAATTTTTAAAAAGCCGGGCATGGTGGTGAGTGCCTATAGCCTCAGCTACTTGGAGGGTTGAGGTAAGAGGATCACTTGAGCCCAGGAGGTCGAGCCTGCAGTGAGCTGCCATTGAGCCATTGCACTCCAGCCTGGGCGGCAGAGCGAGACCCTGTCTCCAAAAAAATGTCTTGGGGTGGAAGGCCTGAGTCTGAATCCTGGTCACTGGCTAGATGATGACCTTGGGTAAGACACTTAAAATCTATGAAATAAGCCGGATGTGATCATACACCTGTGGTCCTAGCTGTCTGGGACGTGAGAGAGGATGGCTTGAGTTCATTGCTGCAGTGAGCTATGATTGCACAACTGCACTCCAGCCTAGGCAATGGAGCAAGACTCCATTTCTAAAAATTCTAACTTTAAAAAATCTGTGAAATTGATTAATAGCACTTAAACTCCAACAAGGTAGACTTTGCAGTCCAGTTATGCCCCACCAAAGGTGGTCAGTTAATGTGAAGTTCCCTGCCTGCTCTTTGTCTAAGTTCTGATACTTCTATAGGGCTGAGTACAGGGTGTTTCCAGCCTGAATCATCCCCAGGATTGTTCAAGGGGTCAGGGTTCTCTTTCTAGTTTCCATTGGTTTTCTTTTTTCTTTTTTTTACCAGACAGGGTCTCACTCTATTACCCAGGCTGGAGTTCAGTGGCATGATCAGGCCTCACTGCAGCCTTGACCTCCCAGGTTCAAGTGATCCTTCTGCCTCAGCAACCCCCAAGTAGCTGGGACTACAAGTGCGAGCCATTGTGCCTCCATAGGTTTTCAGAGGCCCCAGCACAACCTCCTGTCTGCACTGGCTCCCTTCCCTCAGTCTCTATTCCTAACCTACCCTGGGTCCTTTCTACAGTCCACCAACAGCAGGTCCATCTGGCTCCGTGATTTCCCAAGAAATAATGGCTTAATCCTCTCATAACTTTCTTTTGACTTTAACCCAGAGGATTGAGATAATATTTGATATATTTGAGCTAAAAATTCAAGTTTTTCCTTGGCTTGTACCTCTGGCACCTCTCCATGACCTATTCTCTGTCATTAATTCTGTGGTACTTGAAGGTAACATTTGGACCACATTATGGAGATGGGCTGACCTGTGTGATGGGGGTTGTGCTGACACTGTGAGTGTTGGGTGTATATGAGGGGACCACTCTTTAATTCAAAGAAGAGCAGGACAGAGAGGAGTTTCGTGGAAACTGCCTCAGGCCTGCTTTGTTCTGGTTGAGATGTCCTGCCTGTGGCTACATCCATCTAATACTATTTAGGACATGAAAGGGCTTAGAATCAAAGCCTCAAATAGGAACATGTCAGGGCAAGCCACATCCTTCTCTAAATACAACTCAGTGTCGTGCTGTCTCCAAGTAGAACTGAAGCAGGAAGACCCAGGTGTCCATGGAAAGAGCTGGTCTCTCTGGGTCCCTCTGCAGAGATCCTGCATTTTTCCCTTTTGTAGCCAGCCTGCTGTGACTTTGCTTATGTTAAATGCCAATTTCAACAGCATGTTTTCATGCCTGCTGGTGCCCACTGTAAATCTGTGACATCTACATGATGATGATGCCCCTTATCATCCAGAGGGGAAGTCAGGGGCAAACTTGAATATGCTCTTTGGAGCCAATGAACCAGCTGATGGAGCTCAGAGCTAAAATGAGAGCCTCAGGATTTGATCCCAGAGAAGAAAGGCTGCCACTGACTGCTTTCTGAGAAGAAGCTGGAGATGATAGAGAGGAGGTTACCCCAGCAAACAGAATGTTCCCCCAGAGGAAAGATGGTGCAGTTTTCTTGCTTACAGCTAGCTAAGCTGAACACTTTCCCCCTAGAAGAACACGGGGACCCAGGAATGACATGCACTGAATGTGACTTGAGGAAAAGAGAAGGCAAGGCAATGGTCTGGACAATCTTGGGATGTGCCCATCCTGTCTGCTCAGGGAAGGGCAGAGATGGGAGGACCTCAAAGGCCTTGAGGAGCAGCCCTTGCAGGCCACAGCTCTAGGAGCTCTCAGCAACAGGATTCTGCAGGACAGAGCAGTCAGCACCCTCCTCTCACCGCCACACTGCCTTCCCTGTCTCACTTGCTCCTTGAGAACAACTCCTCACCGAGGATCTATGTGGGGGTGAAACTGCAGCCTTAACCCAAACCCTGCAAACAAGCATGAGAAGTCTTTCCATTTACTACTAATTGCCATTCTGAATACCAGCCCTCTGCCCTATGGGCAGTTACTGAACAGCCTGCCCCTTTCTTTGCCCTTGTGGTAGGACTGGGTTGTCTTGTTTTCTCCCCGTATCCACTAACCCCAGCCAGAATCTTGATTCTCAGATTGTGCCCACTTGCCTTACTTTCCACATGGGCCTCTAGGCCACAGGAAGTCTGGCTCCTCACCTTTGTACACAGGAGGGCGAACAGATAATTGCCCCGTTGCTTGCCCCCAGCTGCAGGGAGGTGGCCCAGGCTGAAGACCCATCTCAGTTCAGAATGTTCCAGTGTCTCCTGTCTCATTTCCAGTAAAACGAAGTCCTTTCTGTGACTGCAAAGAGGCTCCACAAAACCTGTTCTGGAGCCTATTCTCTGACTTCATCTCCTATGTATTCATTTCCTGTTGCTGCTGTAACAAATTACCATGAACATGGTGGCTTCAAACAACAACACAAACTCATTATCGTACAGTTCTGTGGGTTGGAAATGCAACATGAGTCCCCATGGGCTAAAATCACAGTTTCAGCAATCAGGGCCACATTCCTTTTTGTAGGCTGTTAGGGAAAAGCTATTTCTTGCCTCTTCCAGCTTCCAGAGACCACCACACTTTCTCCATCTTCAAAGCCAGCAATGTTGCATCTTTCTGATCCTCCTTCCATGGTAATGTTTCCCCTGGGCCACAGTGGGAAAGGTTCTCTGCTTTTAAGAACACCCACCATTACACTGTCCTCACCAGAATGATCCAGCATAATCCCCTTGCCTCGAGGTCCCTAACAGAATCACATTTGCACAGTCTCTTTTGCCATATAAGGTAACATATTTATAGGTTCTGGAGAGGAGGATGTGGACATCTTTGGCGGACGTTATTCTGTCTACCATTCACCTGACCAGCCTGCCTCACTGAGCCATTACCAATCAAGCCATGCATACGCTCACCTCAGGGCCTGATCTTTTGTTCCCTCTGCTTGGAACACACCAGATACCCCAGATCCTCAGAGACTTGGATGTCTTGCTGTCACACTTCCTTCTGCTTGAATGTCACCTGATTAGAGAGGTCTTCCCTAACTCCCACCCTCTCCCATCACAGTGTATACTCCCTTCTCTGTTTTACTTTTCTTCATTGCATTTATCACTACCTGACATATTTGTTAATATTCCTCTGCAAATCCCCCCTACCAATACAGGGATTTTGTCTACTGTGTTCATTGCCCTATCCCCAGCATCTAAAACAGTAGCTGCCATGTAAGAAGTTCTCAGTAAATATTTATAGAAAGGAGGGACGGATCATGCATCAGGGACCTCTGCAGAGTTCTTATGTGAAGGACCAGGCTCAGCATGTAGAACGGTAAAGGAAACTGGCTTAAGCTTTAGCAGGAGGACTTCAGGATGGGAATGGGGAATCATGTTCTGATGCTAGGAGTCCTGATTGAGGAAGTCTTCTCTGGGGACGTATGGGTTAAGTACCTCTCATTTATTTGGACTGGTTGAAGGATGAGCAGGTCATTATCCACATTCCATTATTGGCAGATGTACATCCTTTCTATTATTGGAAATCCTCAATAAACTCACCTGAGTTACATCAAGACAAAATCCACTTTCCATTTGACTCATCAGAAACCTCTGCACTGTACTCCGTGAATGTACATGCTGCTGCAGCTGCTATTTGTGCCTGTAGGAGGGAAGGTGGCGTTGGCAGAATTAAAATGCCATCCCACATAGTGGACACTTAGCAATCATAAGTTTACCTTAATTGAAACTCAGAGTGATAGACTGGCACTCTTATACTGCCCTACTTTGGGAACACTTTGACCTACTTAGAGGTAAACGTTTTTGGAAGTAGATAAAACCTGGAGTGGTTTGTTTTTAGCAATTCCAGCTGCAGCCATCTTTCACTTTGATAAATAGCTCATCTGCCCCTGAGCTCAGGCCAGCTCAGGCGGCTGCTCAGTACAGATATCCAGGAACCTGTCCTTGTTGCCAGCAGTTCTTCCTCTCTGTCCTCACAGAAGAGGAATGTTGGCCATTCTGGGGAGACATCTGTGTCCTCTCAGTATGGCCTGAACCACCCCCCTACCTTGAACCTGGTTCAGACAAGACAGTGATCAGTAATACTTCCTGGAAAAAAAAAAAAGAGGGTGGCTGCAGGCTGAGCTGGGGCCTCTCTTAAGGATAAGTGAGACAGCTAGAAAGAGGCAAACAGGTGTCAATTGGGCAAGTACAGAGGAACACATTTAAAGGTCAGTAGGTGAAGACATATGGACTGAGCTCAGTAATGGTTCAGTCATTAGAGTCCAGGAGCTGTCTGTCACCAAGTGGATGATGGTACCCACAGGGCCAGCAGTGGTGCAGTGGTTAGACCACACTAAACAGAGATAAGAAGGAGAAGAGATTACTATGCGTGATTCTGGCAAGCACACTTTTTCTGTACACCTTACTGTTAAAATAACGCATATTACCTGGGAATGGTTACCCACACAGATATTATACACTTTTGAAAAAAAACATATTTGGGCTGGACACAGTGGGTCATGCCTGTAGTCTCAGCACTTTGGGAGGCTGAGGTAGGATGATTGCTTGAGGCCAAGAGTTCAAGACCAGCCTGGGCAATGTAGTGAGACCCCATCTCTATAGGCAGGTGTGGTGATGCATGCCTGTAGTCCCAGCTACTTGAGAGACTGAGGTGGGAGCCCATGATTTTGAGGTTACAGTGAGCTCTGATTATGCCACTGCACTTCAGCCTGGATGACAGAGCAAGACCCTACCTCCAAAACAAAACAAACAAACAAACAAACAAACAAAACCCCCCACCATATTTGGAGTTCAAATTAAATATAGAAGCAATGTACACATTGTACCTCCTCTCTCTAATTGAAGTGTTTCTGGTTACTGATGACTATTGTCTCAATTCCTCTTTTTCACATAAAGAAGAAACCCCAACCTTATGTCCAGTACTATTCTGTTTCCATTTCTTTTTTCTTCCACAGAAAATTAAACCAACTTCTGCTAGAATTCACCCTGTTCTTCTTTGTCTTTTCTCATGGAACAGGCCTTATTTAATTTACATTTTCCTTATAAACTCCCATGTATAGGTTAGCTTAGTGACTTACAAATAGTAAATATTCCAAGACCAATTATTTGTTGAATAAATGATTAGTACTTGGAAAGAATCTTAGATGTTTAGGCCACAGCCACAAATGGAGGCCAGGGCTTGGTAATTTGGGAATATTGATTAGCCATCCCGATATCAGCAATCAGGCAGTTCATAGATCAGAAATCTACACAGGGAAGATGAGAATTAAGGAACCTGCAGTTAGCAACCAGGGAGCATGGCAGGCAGTGGAAGAATGGGTCAAGGGACCGATTGTCAGAGTTTGAGAAAGTAAAACCATTTGTGTTCAAGTGTTTCCTAAACTCTACAATGCAGGAACTCATCCACAGTGTGAGTGGCCTTGGGCCCTAAAGTCCGTGGTTCTCAGCCATGACTTCACATTGAAATCCTCTGCAGAGCTTTTTAAAACCCATAGATTGGCCGGGCTTGGTGACGCTTGCCTGTAGTCCCAGGTACTCGGGAGGCTGAGGCAGGAGAATCACTTGAACCTGGGAGGTGGAGATTGCAGTGAGCCAAGATGTGCCCCTGCACTCCAGCCTGGGTGACAGAGTGAAACTCCATTTAAAAAAAAAAAAAAACCTATAGAATCCAAATATGGGGGTGAGTGCTACAGGTGAGAATCACCCCTGTGGGGAAAGGAGAGCAAGGGAATGGTTGGAGTGGAGTTAAGGAGATCAGGGCCTGGCCTCTGCACTCACCAGGAACCATGATCACGGCTCACCAAGCCTATGCTCTATAAAAGGTCACAGTAAGAAGGGTCTCCTATGAATCTCTAGGCCTGAATTGGGGCATGGTTGCTGTTCCTTCTTTCTCTATCCTGAGCTTTAAGAAATGTGGGGAAATGATTGTGATTTAGTAAAATTCTTTTCCTGTCCATCTGAAGAGAATAACCCTAAAGGAAAAAAAAATGGCATATGTCTGTTAGTGTAAGAGACAGGTACCTGAGGTCATGGTCCAGTGTTACTGAAGACTGTGGTTAATGTGGAGGGAGAGGCAGTCACACTGGTGCCTGATGTCAGGCCTGACATTGTGGTACACCTGGCCTACTACATCTGCAGGCTGATACCAGAAATTCTTTGGGGTTCACTGTTGTTGGAAATGAGGGTGGGACATAAAGTGGTCACGTAGGTAGGCAGAAAGCCTTATTCATGTAAAATGGACTTAGGCTGCAGGTATCACTGAAGACAAAGTCTGCCAAAAATATAAATGAGACTCAGCCATCTAGTTGAAAAGTAAGACTACTTTAAATATATTGCTTATAGCTCAGGAGCTTTTAGCCTGAACTTTGGGAGTGGGTGGGTAGGTATGTGAAAACCCTGAAATAATAGACATTCAACTGGCTTACACAAAAAGGAATGTATAAGCGAGGGGCGGGCACAAGTAAGGTCCAGGAATAAAGCTTTAGGAAGAAGCCTCTCTAGCTATTCAAATGATATCATGGGAAACCTACCTCTCTCTCTCATCTTTTCCCTGTATTGGCTTCATTCTCGGAGAGCTTCTTCCCACATTGTTATAGCAAAATACCCCCAGCTGCTTTAGGCTAACATTCCATCAACTTAGAAATCTTGTTGAAAGGGATGGCTGTTTTCTCAGATGTTCTTGCTAAGATCACAAGGTTTATGCTCATTGCATAAACTCGAGTCATGTGCTAAATCTGAACCAATCCCTGTGGCTGCCTGGCCACACCCAGGTCATGGGCTTATCTTTGGAGTAGAGGGTGGACAAGGGGAAGATGTCAGCCACACCCAGAAACATGGTCTCCAAAGGGAGGAAGGCTGGTTCCTCAAAGACAAGTCAAGGTGCTGTTACAAAAAGAAGAGGGCACAAATGCCAAATGGGCAAGGACAATGTCCGAATCTCGAGTAGGTCTCCATGTGTTTCTGTACCAACAACATCAGCATCACCTGGGAACTCATAGCAATGCAAATTCTCAGGCCCCACCCCAGACCTACTAAATCAGCAGCTCTGGGAATGGAGCCTAATAATCTGTGTTTTAACACACCCTCCAGGTGATTCTGATGTATACTTGAGTTTGAGAACCACCGCACTGCACCAGTGGTTTTCAAACTATGCTGCGTATTACAGACACCTGGGGAACTTTTAAAATACTTGCGCCCAGTTGCACCCAAAGTCAATTGATCTAAATCTCAGGGTGTGTGTGGGGGTGGGTGGGGAGGGGGGACTCAGGCAGCAATGGCCTCAGACTTGGTTCCACCTCAGAGCCTAAAAAATGCTAATGCCTAATATTTTTAAATGCTTCCCTCCTGATTCTTATCAGCACCAATGTTTTAAAATCATATTCTCCACCATCCCTTCTAAATTGTCTTGAGAATATTAACTTAAAACATCTGGATGCAGGCTGGAGAATCTAGGCATCTATTAACCCTCTCAACTAATAAACCTGGTCACATATCTGATGTGGATTCACTTTTCTCTCACATTCATGATGAGTCTGTCCTAGTAGCTAGCTTCAGAAGGACTGAAATTGTTTTTGTTCACCAATGTAGACCCAGTACCTAGAACAGAGCCTGACACAGAGTAGGCACTCAGTAAGTATTTGATGAATTAACGAGTAGGTCCACAAACAGTTAGTGTCCCCATGTTGTTTGAGATTTCCTTGATGGCCAGGTGTGGTGGCTCACACCTGTAATCCCAGCACTTTGGGAGGCCGAGGGGGGCAGATCGCTTGAGCCCAGGAGTTCAAGACCAGCCCAGGGAACATGGCAAAACCCTGTCTCTATTAAAATAATAATAATAATAATAATAATAAAGGAAAGGAAAGGATTTCCTTGTTAGGTTATAGACATTGGCTAGTCTCATTCTGGAAGGCATGTAAGGATGGCAATGGGACTCTTGGGTTATTGGTGTCTAACCCTAGAATGAATCTCCATGATGGCCAAAAATGTGTTGACCTTGCCAACTTAAGATAGGAAGAGGTTCCTAATGGTTTTATGCCTTTAAATTGAGAGTAGGATGAATTCCTGGGTTATAAGAATTAGTAGAGGCTGGGTATGGTGGCTCACGCCTGTAATCCCAAAACTTAGATGTGCATGGTGGTGCACGTCTGTATTCCCAGCTACTCCAGAGGCTGATGCAGGAGAATTGCTTGAACCCGGGAGGCAGAGGTTGCAGTGAGCCGAGATCGTGCCACTGCGCTCTAGCCTGGGTGACAGAGTGAGACTCTGCTCAAAAAAAAAAAAAAGTATCGGTGGAAACATGCCCAGTGGATCCATTTTGCCTATAGTGGACTACTTTAGGGTCTACTGGTATTTGATTTCTAAAGTAAGAGTTGGGTCTTTCTCAAACATGTAACTCAAGCCAGTTTCAGCAGGATGAGATGTCATTAGTCTCTTGCAAAGAATTGTGACAAAAAAGTGATCCAGTGTTATCTGAACACAAAAACCAAGAGGGAAGATTTGAGTAAAAAACAAACTGGTTATTCCCCATGAAATTTTGAAGCATCTTTGAATTCCCATCATAATGCCCCCAAAGTGTAAAAAGAGAGGGATTGGGTGGGTAAACCAAATATTGAACCTTGGACCATAGCATCCATACTATGGATCACAAGCAAATAAAGTTAATTTTTACAGACAGTTTTGGTCTGGGCTTGCAAGAAAAACAAAATAGGTATTGTCTTTGGTGACATGGAAGAGAGAACTAAATAATAGTGCTGGTTGTTGTGGGTCAGAACTGGAACCCAGGATAACTATGTGAGGATTAAGGATCCTGCAGTAATTCAGTCTGGCAAAATGAGACTGACCAATTATCAGGATGGTCAGTGAATCAGGAATCTTGGGTGCAGACAACATGAGCTATTTTTTTTTTTTTTTTTTTTGAGACAGAGTCTCACTCTGTTGCCCAGGCTGGAGTGCAATGGTGCGATCTCCGCTCACTGCAACCTCCGCCTTCCGGGTTCAAGCAATTCTCCTGCCTCAGCCTCCCGAATAGTGGGGATTACAGACATGCATCACCATGCCCAGTTAATTTTTGTATTTTTAGTAGAGATGGGGTTTCACCATGTTGGCCAGGCTAGTCTTGAAGTCCTGACCTCAGGTGATCCGCCCACCTTGGCCTCCCAAAGTGCTGGGATTACAAGCGTGAGCCACTGCGCCCAGCCAACATGAGCAATTTGAACTGTAATTTCTCTGTTTTTGTATGTGTTAGAAAGAGCACCAGAGATTCATTTCCTGCTTGACAGTGACGTTCTTATGTAAACCTTGCCAAGAGAAACCATCAGGGAGATGGCAGTAGCAGAACTAGAGGGTAGATTTTTGACTTTATGTTCTACTGTTCCAAAGGGGTGAAGCTTTTTAGAGCTTTTCTTTAGAATTAAACCATTAAAGCCTCATCATAGTTTATTAATTCAGTTTCTTCAAAGGTAAAACAGGACACTACTTTACAAGGTTTTTTTATGAGGATAAATGAGATAGTATATGGAGAACATGGAGGAAACTGCTTAGCATATAAATGCTCAATAAATGTAAGCTATTATTACTCATTAGGTCATGCTTCGATCATTTACTGGTATCCCAACCATGTGGCAGATGCCTTGGCACATTTTTTTTGGGGGGGTTGAGCTGGGGGGGATGGGGTCTCACTCTGTTGCCCAGGCTGGAGTGCAGCAGCACAATCATGAGTCACTGCAGGCTTGACATCCCCAGGCTCAAGTGATCCTTCCACCTCAGCCTGCCAAGTAACTGGGACCACAGGTATGGTCCACCAAGCACCGCTCATTTATGTACTTATTCATTTATTTTTATTATTTGTAGAGACAGGGCCTCCCTGCATCGTTCAGGCTGGTCTTGAACTCCTGGGCTCAAGTGATCTGCCTTGGCCTCTCAAAGTGCTGGGATTACAGGCATGAGCAACCATGCCTGGCTGTCACATAGATAAATAAAGCACAAATCTAAGCATGGTTCCAACTGGGAAAGGAAGCCCCAAATCCTGGTAACTTTTAAAAGCCTTGTCCCATGAGTGTGTTTCTTCCAGGAAGGCATTGGTTACCTGGGTGATCAAGCTTCTGTTTTTCATTCCTCCCACAAACTTCCCTTTTTTCTGATGAATGGGCCCTCTTTATGAGTGTTGTGTGTTTCCAGCAGGCCCTTTGCCCTAAAGCTGGACACAAAGGAATGGGAGAGACACCCTGTGAGTAATACAGTGGTTCATGGAAAGGTCCCACTGATGTGGTCCAAGTGGGCTTCAAGGGGGTTGTGGAAAGCAAGCTTGGCCTTGAAACATGAAAAAGATTTAAAAGATAGGGATAGGGATATAAGTAAAGGAATGATAGGTCTACTGGGCATATTGGGCCGAGGGGATGGTGAATGGAAGTCTTGCACCGTAAGTAAGATGTTCGAAGTTTCTCTGTAGGCATTCATTCACCTGGAAATATTAAACTTCACCTCTGTAACAGGATGTTAGCCCAGAAACATGGCCTGAGAAGGGAGGAGGACTGGTTCCTCAAAGACAAGTCAAGGGGCTGTTACAAAAAGAAAAGGGGACAGTTGCCAAATAGGCAAGGAAAAAGTCTGAATCTCAAGTAGGTCTCAGTGTGGTCCTATACCAACATCAGCATCACCTGGGAACTTGTAGCAATGCAAATTCTCGGGCCCCACCTCCTACCTACTAAATCAGCAACTCTGGGAGACATCCATAGATATTTTTAAATTCTACCATCGGCTGTATGTGGTGGCTCACATCTCTAATCCTAATGTTTTGGGAGGCTAAGGCAGGAGGATCACTTGAGCCCAGGAGTTCAAGACTAGCTGGGGCAACATAGCAAGACCCGAGACCCTGCCTCTATTAAAGAAAATTTTTTAAAGAAAATCTACAACCGTGGAATATAGGAATTCTTTTACATTTTTTTTTTAAATGGGGAAACTGAAGATAAAAGGTGAAGTGACTTGCCTAAGTTCAAACAGCTAGCAGGTGGCAAAACTGAGCTTTGAAGGTTGGTTGTATGATTCCAAACCCAGAGTGTGTTTTCACGTCATTACAGTTGGAGAGCTGATCAATATGAGGCACTGTTATCATTATTAGTAATCAGCATTACACGGAAGGAAAGGAAAGGGTTGGGGACGGTGTTTTCAATACAGAGGAGGCTGTGGGGAGGGAACGGGTGAGGCTGCGAGGAAGAAAAGGGCATCCTTGAGTCTTGGAGCATCTAAGTCTGCCCCTCTCTTACCTCTTTGGCCCCATCTAGTTGTATTTTTTAAGCCAACGCCCATTGTGGTGGCCTTTGAAGGGAGGAAGTTGCACATAAGGAGTACCTACCTGTTTGGTGCCAAGGGCTCAAACTCCACCCGTTTGCCCCGTGCCCACAGCGTTGGTGCCACAGGCAGCGTTACATGAGGCTCCGGCCGCTGCTGGCCAGGTCTCCTGCCCACAGCTGGACCTTGGAACTCCGCCCCTTAGGCCCTCCCTCCCCGCCTGGCCCCTCCCCGCTTCCCAAGGTGGCAGTGGCTCCCAGTAAGTCAGAGCTGCGGCCGCGGTGCGGGGAGAGCACAGCGGGGAGGGCGGGAGCCGGCTCTCGGGCGGCGGCGCTGAAGTTTCCTTCCCGCCGCGCTCTCACCCCGGGCTGGCGCCCCGTGCCATGCGGGAGCGCTGGGGCGGCGGGGCAACATGAAGGGCGGCGACAGGGCTTACACCCGAGGTCCCTCTTTGGGGTGGCTCTTTGCTAAGTGCTGCTGTTGCTTCCCGTGTAGAGGTGAGTGGCTGTCGGCGGCCTTGGTGCCTTCTGTTAGCCAGACTGGTCGCGCTCAGCGCGAGGGAGGGTGGTAGGGAGGGAAGGGTTGGGGAGGCCTCTGGGGTAGGCGGATGGGGCTGGGGATCAGGAGGGCGGCGAAGTGAGAGAGTTTGCTGCGATCCGTTTCACAGTTTCCCAGACAGAACGCGCGCGCTCGCTGGCTGGCGGTGAGGTTCTGACTTGGATGCGGAGCTGCTGTTTGGGAACTCAGTCACCTAGCAGCGACTTTGGATGTCAGGGCGCCAGCCTGCTAGGGAGTGGGATGCGGACGCGGGGGTGGGAAGGGGACGCAGAGCCGCGTGTGTCCCTATAGTGGCGGAGAAGTACCTCACCTCTCATTTACACATGGATCTCAGCTGCGGGATTAACGTGTGACTCCTGGCTACAGGAATGTGTTTGACACCTGTCTGTACACCAGGAACTATTTTTGCCAAGTGACAATTTTCTCGTGGGACTGGAGCACATTTTTTTCTGCCTGGGTTTTCACAGGCCAGCGTGGATTTGTAGCTCCGGGCCGGAGCTTGGCTCATTAATTAACAACTCTCTCTGTGCCCAGTTAGGACTGTATTTAATTATTCTGCTAATCTTAACGTCGTGGAAGAGACTTGCAGGAAGCAACCAATTTCCCCCAAAGCAGCCGGCGAACAGGAGGGCGAGAAGGATCACAGAGGGAGGGTTCTCAATTGTGTGGCTTCTTCTGAAAAAAAAAATCAGAACCTTCCCAAATAGGATAAGCAGATGCTCCTAAGGCTGTTCATGTCACTTTAACACACGCTAGGATAGCGGGGGAAGACTGTTTTTGTGTGGGTAGAAATGAGAATGTAGCCCCCTACTTGACATTTGCCCTTTTAAAAAGTTTCACCTTTTGGGCCTCTGGCCTCCACCCCCATTTACAATACCCCACCCAGTCTCCCATCCCATCTGCTATGCAAAATCCTAATGGAACTTTCTGGCTGAGTTACTGGTGAATAAACTTCATCCAAGCCACCTTTCAGCATCCTCTGTGCCACAAACACACAACATAGCCCTGAGAAATTTTCTATCCTGAGCAGATATAAGGTTACCAAAACTAATTAAATCTGAATGACTTTTCCTGCGCGTCATTAAGGTCATAATCTTAGCATCAGATGGTCTCAATCTCTGTATTTAATTAGAGCAGCCTGGAACCGTGTGGTTTTGAGCTCTAGAAACCAGAATTCAGATGAAGAAGGAATGTGAGGGGCCAGGGACCCTCTAAGTCTGATTCAGAAACATTCAAAACCAAGGCTGGGAATTGAGGGAAAGGGGGAATAAAGCGCGGAGGAAGCAGGAAATGGCCAAGGGGAATCTGAGTGGGTGGGTTCGCTCGAAGGCTGCCCTGCTTTCCCCGCAAAGAGTTTCTCTGCAGGATTTCTTGGGAGTCCGTTTCCTGTCAGACAGAATGTGGGGGCTGGGGTGGTGCTTATCTGAAGTCCCCACAGCTGCCTCCTTGAGTCCAGATGTGTGACAGCCCTGGCTGCCCTTCAGGGTAACTCTCTGGGCGTCTTGCTGGCCCTTGCTTTGTTGAGGAATTGCCCGACTTTCACTCTCGCTGTGATGCAGGGGAGGGCTGGGGAGCTGGCTCCAGGGCCTGGTAAGTGCCTCCTGCCTAGGGCCTGTGAAGGCAGTGGCTGCTGGCTCCGTGGCTAGGAGAGGAGGCGTGCGAGTGGCTATCGTAGGAGCGGGAGCTGAAAAGGCTAGCGACCCTCAGATGAAGACTGAGGGAGTCAGAGGTCCAAGCAATGAGACCAGTTTAAAAGGGAAAAGAAGGGTGGCAAGGTGGGTGCCCGGGGCCTTCTCCTGCTTTACTCCTCACTCCCCTAGATCTGAAATGTGTGAAGATGAAAAACGGGCTCATCAGAGGACGATGGTGGGGGAGGTGAGTTAGCCACTCTCCAAAGAAAACTCCTGCCTGTGGCTAGGCTGGGGGTCGTGTCTGAGGTGTTGGGCATGCCCTGAGGCTCCCTCAGGCTCACTCTAACCGAAAACAGTCTCCACTCAGCCTGTAGGCATCAATTTGAAAACAGATTGAAAAGATAAGGTCTGTATTGAGCCTGAGTGCATGGCCCAGAGTCCGTGGACTCTTTGGGAAGAGGCTTGCCCAATTGCAACACCCAAAAGGGCTGAGGGGAGAGTCTTGAGGCTGTCTCTCAAGTGGAGGGTGTGCACTGCAGGGGACTGACTGCCTCCCTTTTCAGTTGAACCAGTTCCTCTGGTCTTAGGGAAAATACAATGGAAAGGCAACCTCCACACTCCACCTTGTAGATAAAGGCGGCCGGTTGTTTGGTCTCTATCCCTTCTCTCTCAGGGAGAACTTGGCTGTCTCCTGCGGCTTGAGTAGCTTGACTCTGAAGCAATGACTCAGAGCCCACTGCTGTGGTTCCCAAGGCAAGGGGACTTGACCATCTGACTTCCAGTCATGCAGGATTTAAAGGATACCTCCTTCTAAAGTCTGAGGAAAAGGACAAAAGTAAAAGAACCAAGAGGAAGTGGAATGTTTTGGCTATTTTTGACTTGAAGCTAAGTGAGCTACATTGGGATTTCTCTGGTGAATTCTGAGTGGTTGTAATTGTCATCACTAGGGTCAGAGTCAAGGATTTAGATAAAGTACCTGTGTGGTCTTTAAATATCACATTTGAGGAAAATATGGATGAATTTCACTGAACTTATCTTTTGATTTGGAAGAGTATGGAAAGCGACTATCTTGTATTTTTCCCTCCACCCCCACCCTCCACTTTTTTTTTTTTTTTTTTTTTTTTTGATACAGGGTCTCACTCTGTTGCCCAGGCTGGAGTGTAGTGGTTTGATCATGGTTCACCACAACCAGGATCTCCTGGGCTCCCACCTCAGCCTCCCAAGTGGCTGGGACCATAGGTGCATGCCACTACCCCAGGCTAATATTTTTATTTTTTGTAGAGACAAGGTCTCACTATGTTGCCAGGCTGGTCTCAAACTTCTGGGCTCAAGTGATCCTACTGCCTCAGCCTCCCAAAATGCTGGGATTACAGGCGTGAACCACTGCACTTAGCCTTTTTGGTTCTATTGAGTATGAGTACAGAAAGCAGGTTTGATGAAAGATGATTTTTCTTCCCTATCTTGAAACTGGTGTTGAAAGGCAGGAAAACTGAAAACCAAGGATAGAAAGGAAATAGATATCGGGTAAGAAGGAAGAAAGAAGGCAAATGCATTTATAACTGCCTTTTTGAAGGTGAAAAACAACCAAAAGTGAGATAATGGCATGCATGTGTCTAAGGGGTGATAAATCATTGATGTCACACTCTGTGGGGAGTTAGTTTTGGGATAGCTTTGACTAGCTAGACTGTCCTTCAAGCCTGAAAAAGTGGGTCAGTTCAGAAAAGATTTCAAATCACCTGGAAATTGCTAAGTTATGTATTGCACTGGAATTTGTGATCAAGGAGCCCAGAGATTTTTCTGACCTTTCTAGGTAGAAGCCAGTTTTAGAGACTTAATTTTGTTTTGAGATGGAGTCTCGCTCTGTCGCCCAGGCTGGAGTGCAGTGGGACAATCTTGGCTCACTGCAACCTCTGCCTCCCAGGTTCAAGCAATTCTCATGCGTCAGCCTCCTGAATAGCTGGGACTACAGGCGTGCACCACCATGCCCGGCTAATTTTTTGTATTTTCAGTAGAGACGGGGTTTCACCATTTTGTCTAGGCTGGTCTTGAACTCCTGACCTCAAGTGATCCACTCCCCTCGGCCTCCCAAAGTACTGGGATTACAGGTGTGAGTCACCGTGCCCAACCAAGAGACTTAAGTTTCTAGTCAACTTTCATTAGCTTTAGGTATGTGGACAAAAGTCCCCTTTTGAAAGCTTTTCCTGATTACCATCCTCCACAGTGTGCATGGGATTTATTTATACTTGTTTATTGCTGTATCATTGTCCTTGCATCCCAAGCCCACGTGCCATTGTGTCTTCACATTTAGACTGAGATAGTCCAGCCACCTGAACATCTCAGAGGTAAAGAGAGGAAGGAGGTGGGACTTACCCAAACTGAATCACTTCACTGGGGAGGTGCAGGGATTGGTTTCTATGATTCTTTCTTTACTTGGGTAGTCCTTCCTGCTTGTCTCTGATGTCATGGGCTTTGGGTAAGTGTATGGGGATTCACAGGGCATCCAAAGGCATTTTTATCTATAACTTTGTCTTATCCTACTTTGTTCCAGAATTCTCAGCCAGAAACCTTATGACTTGACGTAAATATCTCTTCCTTGGTCCTTAAATTAATATAGCCCATTTGATAAATGGAGTTTAATATGTGAAACCGTGACACCAAGTTCCTTTACAAAGGTGTTGGTAACTGCAAAAAGGAACCATTATGACATTCACTGTTGTTGACTTTAATTCACCATCCACTGTAATCCCAGCACTTTGGAAGGCCAAGGCAGGAGGACTGTGTGAGCCCAGGAGATCAAGACCAGCCTGAGCAACATAGGGAGATCCCATCTCTACAAATTAAAATATTAGCTGGGTGTAGTGACATGCACCTGTAGTCCCAGCTACTCGGGAGGTTGAGGTGGGAGGATCGGTTGAGCCCATGAATTCAAGTTTGCAGTGAACTATGATGGCACCACTGCACTCAGCCTGGGTGACAGAGTGAGACCCTGTTTCCAAAAAATAAACAAAAATAAAAATTCACCATCCAGGGGATAAAATCCTTGGGGCCTTGATGTGTATCCTTTTATTTCTTCATCTTCTAGGAAATGCCTTTACCATGATGGAAACTGAATTGATTATTTAGCATATACAGTTGTCCCTCAGTAGCCACAGGGGATTGGTTCCAGGAACCCCTGCGGGTACCAAACTTTAAGGATGTTCAAGTCCCATAGTCGGCCTTATTGAATCTTCAGATACAAAAAGTCAGACCTCTGTGCCCATGGGTTTCGCATCCCACAAATACAGTATTTTTTGTCAGAGTTTGGTGAATCTGAGGATGTAGAACCTGTGGATACACAGGGCCTACTGTATGCTTTTGCGATATGTCTCTTGGTTTTCTTTGCCTCCCAGGGATGTACTCTATTTCTATCTTTCTTTTTTCTTTTTTTCTTTTTTTTAAATTAAATGTCTCAGCAGAATCAACCAGGGATATACTCAACCTGGGAAGAAGTAGCACACATATTTACTGTCTTCAACCCGAATCCTATGCTTCTCTTTCCATGTCTGATTATCTAATCTACTGAATGGTGATAGGTGTATCATTTATTACCTAGATACAGTATCAATTAGTATCTGGATAACAGTACTGACTGCCAGTCAAACCACAGCATGGTAGAAATGGGGGTGTATGAAGGTGGTGGGGTGAGGTGGAGTTTGGAAACTGAAGCTGAATATCCCTCCTGTGGTACAGCTGCATGCCCAACAATCACTGATAATCCTGTAGGCAATGGTTCCATAGGGTATAGGTTCATAAATCCTACCTTGGGAATAAAAGGTGCAAATTATGACTCTGTATCTGTTTTTTAATGCAAAATAACTTTAAAAATAAAAATAAAAAAGCAAGTTGAATGTTGAGGACTTTACTCTTGAGCCCATACAACACTGGGCATACCTTCTGGAGTAGTGTTGCTGATATTCTATTTTGTGGTATTCCTTTTAAGAATCTTCATACTGTTTTCTTCTACCCTAAAAACATTGCCCATCTTTTTGCACTTGATCTTAGCCAAAAGGCCAAGAAGTGATTGCCCATCTTTTTGAAGTGCTACTCTTTCAGTGAGTAGCACATCCTGCCCCTTCCTTCAGACCTAACCCCAGGCTTTTCCTGAAGGAAGGCTCTGGAAAAGGCTGAGGTCTGAAACCTGAGGGTGTCTTCTCAAGCAGAAGGGACTAAATCATGGAAAGCTACAGCCAGAAGGAACACCAGGAATCATTTAATTCCTCCTACTCCTTTTATACAGGAGAAAATGGAGATCCAGCCTTTTAGTAGCAGGATCAGAACTAGCATCCTTTTCTGATATTCTTTCCTCAACTCTTTTTCATTCCTGGGCATGTGGCTTGTCTTCGTCTGAACAGAGGCAGGACTGACCCAACTGAGAAGGGTAGAGATAGTACCCAAACTCTAAATCGGGTGTTGACTGTGTTGATCTGTTGTTTCTGGGGGTGAATGCACTGCCTGGAGCCATTTGGAATTAAATGTACCTGCTTTCAAATGTGGTCTGCTTTCAAGGGACTCTTCTGTCCCAAAACTGAAGATGTCAGAGACCACCATCACATCTCTCTCTCCCAGAGCAGCTTGTACACGTTTTCTTAGTTAATATCTGTTCATGTTTTTCTCTCTGGTTCAACTTAATTCAGGTCCCTTTTCCCCGCCCTTTTTTGTCCTTGTTCTTTCCTTTTCTTTTTTTGAGACAAGGCCTCACTGTGTTGCCCAAGCCGGTCTTGAACTTCTGGACACAAGCAATCCTCTCATCTCTACCTCCCAAAGTGCTGAGGTTACAGGTGTGAGCCACCATGCCCAGCCATTGTCCCTGTTCTTGAAGCTTACCCTTTCACAGTCATTGCATCTTTGAACATTGCTTTTTGTGTAACACAGTGTTTTAATTTATTTGACAAATGTTTATGCTGACTGCATGCCAGCCCTGTGCTAGGTGCTTGGGAGAGTGGACAAGAAGGAATCTAATGACATTTACCCCATTGAGCTGTGAAGATTGGTTAAGACAATGTAAGTAAAGGGCCTAGCATAATGCCAGGCATATAAAGTGCTCTAAAAAAATTAGCTATTAACCATAGCAGTAATTGTAATACTAGACATAGACCCCATCCTCAGGGGACTCCCAGCTAAATATCTGTAGGTCCAGTTGGTGGTAACACTGTAAATGTAAGTTCCAAAGCAATTTAATGGCCCTGGCTCAAACCATTGTCAACAGTGCCTCAGTGCTGTGGAGTTGTCACTGTGGGGAAGAAAACTTGTGATCTAGATGTGTGGTGGGAATTTCCTTTTTAAAAAACTTAATTAGACCAATAAAAAACCACATAACACTTCCAGTGTTGTAATTTCTTTGTGTTACATAAAAGAAGATTCAACAGAAGATACTGGCAAGAGTCTGGGCATAGTGGCTCACACGTGTAATCCCAGCACTCTGGGACGCTGAGGCAGGCAGATCACCTGAGGTTGGGAGTTCAAGACCAGCCTGGCCAACATAGTGAAACCCCCGTCTCTACTAAAAATACAAAAATTACCTGGGTGTGGTGGTGCACGTCTATAACCCCAGCTACTCGGGAGGCTGAGTCAGGAGAATTGCTTGAACCCGGGAAGCAGAGGTTGCAGTGAGCCGAGATAGAGCCACTGCACTCCAGCTTGGGTGACAGAGCAAGACTCCGTCTCAAAGAAACAAAAAAAAAAAAAAAAAAAAGAAAAAATCCTGGCAAGAAGCCTACATATCCCTAAGTTATCCTTCTCTTAGGGGCAACACAAGGTACAAGAACTGGAGAATAGCAACCCGATTTTTGAAGTTTGGATGCTGAGCATCTACATTATAAAAAAAAAAGATAGCCAATTGCTTTTTCTTGCCTGTGCCTTGACTTTGGTTAGCAATATCATTGGAAACGTTTTTCTCTTCTTTTTGGCCAATATTTATTGCACATCTTTTATGTTTGAGGCTTTGTTGGTTCTTCTTCAGACTGTTTTTGCCTAGATAAAAATCATAACCGGCTGCCCTCAGGCCATTATTCCAGCCCCCATGGTGCTGGATGTTTCACTGAGGCTCCACCAGTATCTTCCCCCTCCCTTGTAGGTGAGGCCCACGGGTGGCTTGCCTCCCTGCCTGCTGTAATCAATGACTAATAGAGCATATCTTTTGCTCTTGGCAGAACTGTGTTACAATTCCTGGAAGGAGGGGAACCCTGGTTACACCTGTGAGGCAGCCAGGAGGCTGCCAGGCAGCTTTTGCCAAGTGAAAGAGCAAAGATCAGAGTTACTAAAACAGGTTGTTCCACATTCTTTTTGCCTTTCTGGTGACCACAGTGAGGAAACTGTCAAATTGAAGGGGAGGGAAACCCCTTCTGCTGCTAGGTCAAAGCAGTACCTCCTAAAATGTTTCTGTTTCCAGGTATGTGCTCTTCCCAGCGCAGGATTAGTTGTGGGCTTGTATCTCTTCTTTTACAGCATCTGGTGTGTCATCAGCTGTCAGGATATTCTCAGTTTCTGCTCTCTCTCCATGAGAATCTTCATATTGCTCCTGTGGGGAAAGGGATGTTATCTTTTCCCATTCAAAGGGGAAACCAAGCCTTGTTGTTTAAAAGAATTGCAAACACATTGTTTGCCACACATTTTGTATCTCAGTTTCATATCTGTGCAGTGCTCCTTCTCTTCTTTGTCTGCCTACTCACAGAATGACTTAGAGCAGAAGTTCTCAAAGTGTGGTCACCTGGGAACATGTTACAAATGCAGATTCCCAGGCACCATTGACCACCCTGCCCCGCCTCACCCCACAACTGAGGGATGGGCTCTAGCAGTCTGTGTTTTAATAAGCCCTCCAGGTGGTTGTGGTGCACGCTCAAATTTGAGGACTACTAACTTAGTGCTGCTCACTTGGAGGGAAAAGGTAGATTTCCTCTCAGTCTTGTCTTTTTCTTTTTGATTTGTTCTTTTCTCTCTTTTCTCCCTCCACCCTCCCCTAACCTGCCTCCTCTCCCCAGCTCCAGCAAAACATTCCATAATGGAAGGCTCCCTGTGTCCCTGGGGAATTCTTGGTTTGAGACATTGTAGAGGCCCATTTGCTATTTGCTTTCACAGGGGTGTCAGGGAATAGGAATTAGGAATCAGGAATTATCTATGTCTTCCACGAGCTTAACAGCCCAAAGATCCAGTAAGGGAGGTTGTTGCATCTTTCTTCTCACTTAAGATTACTTTGCTTTTATTTTGTTTTCCTCATTACCCTCTCCCGCCACATTCCCCTGCCAAACGAGGTCTTGCCATATTGCCCAGGCTGGTCTCTAACTCCTGGGTTCAAGTAATCCTCCTACCTCAGCCCTTCAAAGTGTTGGCATTACAGGTGTGAGCCACCACACCCGGCCTCCTCATTACTCTTAAAAGTAACTATGCTGACTACAGAAAAAAATCAAAACTTAGGCAAACAAAAAGACCAAAATAGCATAATCCTAACCATCTAGAGACAACCACTACCTAATCACTTACTATATTCTTTTCCGTATGTTTACCGCTTTTTACTTAAATGGGTTCATTTTTACATGCTGCTTTTATAACTTGCTTTCATTTAATCTTCTGAACATCTTTCCCTATGGATGCATTTCCAGGAATTTTTTTTGGAGACAGAGTCTCGCTCTGTCACCAGGCTGGAGTGCAGTGGCGCAATCTTGACTCACTGCAACCTCCGTTTCCTGGGTTCAAGCTATTCTGCTGCCTCAGCCTCCCAAGTAGCTGGGACTACAGGCGTGCGCCACCACGCCCAACTGATTTTTGAATTTTTAGTAGAGATGGGGTTTCACCATGTTGGCCAGGATGGTCTCGATCTCTTGACCTTGTGATCCGCCTGCCTTGGCCTCCCAAAGTGCTGGGATTACAGGTGTGAGCCACCGCGCCCAGCCTTCCAGGATATTTTCAATGACTATAAAAGTGTTTCATTGCAGACAAGACTTAAACTTGACAACTATTAGTATTAGTTTAATATAATGGTTAAGAGTTCGGTGGGAAGATCCTGGGAAGAGTCCTGGGTTAAGAAATAGATCTTTCCAGGATCAGATTATATAAACAGACTAATTCTTGTCCTGGGACTGACATATCTCCAGTCCCACTTCCCACCTTGCCTTTCTGCAGGACCAGTGAATGATCAGCCTTTATCTCTCCTCCCCAGGAGATCAGCAAGCACTGTGGCTGGAGCCTCAGGATTTACCCCTCCCCTCTTTTTCTTAGTTATGAGGTATTGGGAATCTTCTCACCCTGGGGCCTTCTCATTGTGCAGCTGATGTCACTGAGCAGGTCCAGGGATTTTTCTTTCCTTTTTTCTTTTTCTTTCCTTTTTTTAAATTTTTTTAAAAATTTTATTTATTTATTTTTTTGAGATATACCATGGGAAATAGTTCATTTTTAAATTATTGCAACTAGGAAGAGAACCTTGATTTTTTTTTCTGAGAAAAATCATACATAAATGGGAAAATTTGAAAATACAGATAAGTGAAGATAAAATTATATCACTTAGAGATAACTAGTATTAACACAACATACATTCTTTTGGTCTTTTTTTTCCATGTGTGTTTTTTTTTCTCAGAAATATGATACAGAAGTGTTACAAACTGTTTTCACCTAACATATTGAACGACTTCTACTACATTTTAATGAATGTATTCCATGGTATACTGGAGCCAGCTCAGCTCAGACAGGGATTGTTAAATAGTCAGGATTTCCAGAGCAGATTATTAAACTATTAGTAGCTTGAGATCAGCCATGGTGGGAGTATTTATACCATGGAAGTTACCAGACACCATGAATTGGGGCTTCTTGTTTTATTTAGAGGGCTGGTTTATTAGTATACCACTATATACACATTTTATCATGTAAATGTGATTTGTTCTGATTGAAATAATCTCCCTATTTTAGGTTATTTCTGATTTTTGCTGTTATAAACACTATGTAATGGCAATCATGGATGTCCTAGTACACATCCATAATTACTTCCTTAGGATACATTCCTTGAAATAGTTCCAGAATCAAAGGGTGTCTGGAATTACAAGAACTTGTTACCAAGTACCCTCAGTTTCATACCCTTTGAAAGGAAGAATGTACTATTTTTGTTTTAAGAGGATTTATGAGAAACATCCTCTAGTACCAAGAATTTCATGTCTCTCCTGTTTACTTCTGTTTACATTTTCTGAATGAATTCTTTTTATATAAGGAAATACCCTGGCTGAGAGTATAATAAGCGAATGCCTTTAATTCATAGGATATAGACTGATATGTAGGGTATAAAAAGTATATTTTGTGGCATTCTGGAATGAAAGGCAATATATCATGATGATTACGAACTTGGAATCAGGTGCCAGAATGAATTTGAATCCCAGCTCTGCTGTAACTCTGTGCAAGATACATAAACTCAGATAGAATGATTCTACAAATAGAATGATATCATTTCACTAATTATTAAAAAGTAGAAACAAACAGGTGAAATTAGTTTTATTGTATTGCTTTTAACCCAATAGCTCACAGTTTTTTCATCTCATATTTCATTTCAAAACAATAGCTCCATCTTAAAGAAAAAAAAAAAAAAAGGACCAGGTGCAGTAGCTCATGTCTGTAATCCCAGCACTTTGGGAGGCTGAGGCAGGTGGATCACCTGAGGTCAGCAGTTCGAGGCCAGTCTGACCAACATGGTGAAAATACAAAATTTAACTGGGCATGGTGGTGGTCGCCTGTAATCACAGCTACTTGGGAGGTTGAGGCAGGAGAATCGCTTGAACCCAAGAGGTGGAGGTTGCAGTGAGCCAAAATCGCGCCATTGCACTCCATCCTGGGGGACAAGAGCAAGACTCCGTCTTAAAAACAAACAAACAAAAAAACCCCACAATAGCTCCAAATATCATATCAACATACAATCAATATAAAAATTGAGATGCTTTACATTATTTTTTTGTACCAAGTCTTTGAAATCTGGTGTGTAATTTAAATATACAGTACAGTTTCTTCAGTTTCTTCATCTGGAAGATGAAGACCATGGAATCTCTTCATAGGGTTTTTGCAAGGCTTAGGTGAGTTGATGTATGTAAATCACTTGCACCTGGCCTGTGGTAAATCTAGGTAGGTGTTGGATTATTACTATCATTAATAAGTACATAGGGTCGGGCACGGTGGCCCACGCCTGTAATCCCAACACTTTGGGAGGCCGAGGTGGGTAGATCAGTTGAGGCCAGGAGTTCGAGACCAGCCTGGCCAATATGGCGAAACCCCATCTCTACCAAAAATACAAAAATTAGCCAGGCATTGGTGGTGCATGCCTGTAGTCTCAGCTACTTGGGAGACTGAGGCGTGAGAATCCTTGAACCCGGGAGGCGGAGGTTGCAGTGAGCCAAGTTTGTGCTATGGCACTCCAATCTAGGTGACAGAGCAAGACTCTGTCTTAAAAAAAAACAAAAACAAAAACACAAACAAAACAAAACAACAAAAATAAGTACATAGATGTCTCTGTGGACCTGTGCCAACCATCACATTCAGATGGTTTCATTAATTCCTTAATCAAACAGGAAATTAGGCTGAGCACTTTTTGTGTTGATTCCCAAATATTTGAATACTGTGTGGCAGATATTAGGCTAGTGACATAGAAATCTTAAGATATTTCTCTGCCCCGAGTTGGTCCCAAGTAAACCAAGTTGGGAGCTATTCCATAAATGTGAAACAGTGATAACAAAAAGGGGAAAAAAAGAAAAGAAAAATCAGTTGCTAAAGACAATAAGGGGAACAGTGCTGCGAGGTCCTGCCAGATTGCTGGCTAAAATAATTACGTAGAAGCTGATGTGAGCATAGCAGCCTGGGATGATCTGGGAGGACTCCCCAGGGGATGCAGGGTTCTCACTGCGTGCTAAAGAGCAGGAAGGGGTTTTTAAAGGGCCAAGGACATAGTGGGAGCAAAGCAGCAGGGATATTCAGGGGACCACAGAGGAAAACTTGGTTAGAGCTGCTTTCTAAAGCTGCACTGTCCAATCCAGTAGCCACTGGCCATTTGTGGCTACTGAGGACCTGAAATGAGGCCAGTCCAAATTGAGATATGCTGTATATGTAAATATTTAAAGCATCTCAATTTTTATATTGGTTATATATTGAAATGATATTTGGAGCTATTGTTTTGAAATGAAATATGAGATTAAAAAAAAACTTTTGGAGCTACTGGGTTAAATGTAATGCAATAAAACTAATTTCACCTGTTTGTTTCTACTTTATAATAATTAGTGAAATGATTCCATTCTATCTGTAGTAAATTTTATATATCTCTGTAGAGAAGATAGTGAAGTGTAGGACGGTCCTGCCCTTATGTTTGGAGGAACAGGGAGGGTGGAGTACTGGATCTAGTCTGAGGGAAGACCCAGCTCTTTGGAAGGAATCTGGAGGGCCAAGGACCCCAGTGAATTGGAACTCACTCTCAGGTTCCTGGAACTGTATTTTAGCCACCTGCTCCAGTTTGATTCCACAGAAATCTGTCCCACAGTGGCCACTTGTTTCTGGTATTTACAAACGTCCAGAGGGATTCTGGGGGAAATCAGCTGCTCCTCTGGAGGCCCAAGTCCATCTGAAATCACAGCTTGATTTCCAGAACCTAGGAGAGAGAGGTCCAGCTGGTCTTGATGAAATCAAGGGCTACTCCAATGGCCTGGAATCTCCAAAGAAGGTCGGAAGACTTTCTTGAGACATCCCAAGGGGCTTCCCGTAGCCAGGTGCAAGGTGAAGGTTGACCTGAAGCCAGACCTTGATTGCCAGTGTGCTCTAATTTAATCCAGTCCTGTGAAGTCTTCCCAGAGATCCAGTGAGGCCAGTGGCTGCCAGAGTATTCTGGGGCCTTGCTGGAGGCCTCCTGACTCCTGGTCCCCTCAATAATCAGAAATCTAAAGAGGACAAGGAACTGCTGTCATAATTTTGCAGTGTAGAGGGGCATCATATATAGGTCCTTCTCTCTCTCTTCCCCTCATTACCCCCTCTGTCTCATTCACACACGTTTTGTTTGTTTTTTTGTGTTGTTGTTGTTTGTTTGATGTTGTTTTTGTCATTGTTTTTGAGACAGGTGACATTTGCTCTGTCACCCAGGCTGGAGTGCAGTGGCTCAATCTCGGCTCACTGCAACCTCCGCATCCCAGGCCCAAGCCATCCTCCTACCTAAGCCTCAAGAGTAGCTGGGACCACAGTAGCACGCCACTACGCCTAGCTAATTTCTTATATTTAATAGAGACAAGGTCTTGCCATGTTGGCCAGGCTGGTCTGGAACAGCTGGGCTCAAGCAATCTGCCCACCTCAACCTCCCACAGTGCTGGGATTACAGGTGTAGCCACCACGCCTGGCCTCACACACATTTCTAAGTACTCTCAAGGAAAAGAACAAGATGCTCTGAGACTATCTGGGGACAGGGGTGGGGTGGGGGTTAGATTGGGCAGTCGGGACCCTGCCTGAGGAACTGACATAGCTACCAAGAGTCTTGTTACTACCCCTCTTCTGGCCCGCAAGTGGGTATTATTTGTGTTCTCTACCAAGTTTAAAAAGTATTTCCGAAAGGTTTTGCTAACTACTATGGGAGAACGTAAGGTAGGGAAGTAGAGTAAAAGCGGCATAAAGCTGGATAGCCTTATCATGCTCACATTTTTTAGGACCTTGCTTGAAGCCGACTTGCTTCAAGAGCTCTCCTGCCGTTCTTTGGTCTATAAGAACCTCTGAGGAACCTGTACCTAAGTCACAAAGGATCACTGCCAGGGCTCTTACTTCCTGATTTGCAACCTGAGTCTCGTCATAATTATGTTGGCACTGGGATCCAGATTAAAAGAACCAGAGTCCCATTCCCTGCAACCCACCTTGGCCTTTCCCATCTGTCTCTCATTTCTGTTCTGAGGCATTGCCATCCACAGCTGCTGCCTCCTGCTGCGATAACTGTTATTCAGGGTGTGCTGGCAGGGTTCAGCTGAGTCTGCATGACCCTCTTTGGGCAATGCTGTAGACCTGTTTCTGTAACATTTGGGACGTTGTACTCAGTGGCCTTTACGATCTTTTCCAATTCCCATTCCACAAAGGGATTTAAAAACCAGAGATAATCCTGTTTGTTTACTTGGGTTCTGCTTCAAAGCAGAAGACCTCAATAACCTTTTAAGGTTTTTTCCAGCCTTTCTAATTTTGAAGTTCCCATTTCTTTGGGCTTTGGTTTAGAAATTCTACCCCTTTCCCAATTTAACTTACAGCTTCACCACCAACTAGTGCTTCCATTTTAGAGTGTTAGCAGCCAACTCTGCCAGAGTGTCTATGGGTTCCACACACAGCTTGTTTCCCAGTGAATTCCCAGTGAGGTGGTCAAGTCTAAATTTAAACTATGACCCTTCTACCAGCATATGCAAGCCAGGGCTGCAAGAGCAAAATCAGAACTGAACTGTTCTCAGTGAGATGTGTGTGTAGGAGTTAGAAGAGAAAGTGGGCAAGGCTTCCCAAAAGGTAGACCAGCCGCGGGGAAAGAAGAGCAGGAGTTCAGGGTGAGGATAAGTGCAGTTATCCCAAGGGACTGTTGGAGTTTATTGTAGCATGGCTGGGTCCCTTGGAGAAAGTCAGCCAAACTCACCATCCTCTGTTTCCTCTCATTGTAACATACCAATGGCATAACTCACCTGGGTTTGTCATTACCATGGCTTCTTGCCAAGCATTATGGCACTTGTCTCTTATTCCAAAGTCACAGATCCTTGGTTTATGAGATACAATCTGCACATTATGTTATATTGGTTTCAACTCTTGTTTGGTTGCCTGGCTCACATCTTTATTTGTGTTTTTCTGTATCAATGGGTACGTATTTCAAAGACAGGACAGGGCAGTGGCTATAATTCTGGTTGTGGAATGGCTTTGCCAAGTCAGGTACTAGAAAGTGAAACTGCAAAGCATAGAAACTGATTTAGTTTGTAACGTTTAACTCATTATGATTTAGTGACACCTCCAATTTGTATTTATATTTGTGATTAGCATCCTATACCATGAAATTTATATATATATATATGTGATATCATATATGTGACTATATATGTAGGACATTTTTAGAGTGGCATCAGATGTGATTCAAATAGAGCAATCTTTATTATTCTGTTTGATTGTGATTGCTAACATATATTTTGGAAGTAGCCTAGAGGCAGGTTTGGAGAGGCTACCTTGAGTGCATGTGTTTTTCCAAAATGCCCCAGCTCGAAGTAAAGAGGAAAACCAGATTACAAAGCTTCTGAAGCTGGGGTTCTAGCACTCTCTGAAAGTGCCCAGGGTAGAATCATAAACAGGGCTATGACTAAGAAGGAACATGGGCCAGTTGGCCCTCTTGTGCTCATGCGTCATTTTCTCTAAGTAAGCTAGAGCTTTTTGTGGGCAATTCTCTGTCTTTAGTTCAGACCTCTAAGAGCCAAGCATGGGTTAGGAGGGTCAGACTGAGTCCCCCTCCTGACGTTAGAGCTTACTACATGTATGGCATTAGTCTGGTGACCTAACTTTATGGCAATGTCTTCATCTGCGCACTTGGGGAAATACAGGCATCTATCCCTGAGGGTGGTTGTGAAGATTCAAGTGAAAAAGTATGTGTGTATCACTTAGGGTAGTTCCTGGCTACCTGGTATATGGAATGCACTCAGTAAGTGTTAGCTTGAGAACAGCAACATTCTTCCCATTATCAGACATTTCTCTAACTTATAGGGTAATAGCTTTAAATGAGCCATTATGTAGGATGGAAGTAGATTAATGACTATTTCTCAAAGCTTTTAAGGAAAACAGACTTGTAACCTAGGTCTCAAACTATTGGCCTTTTGCCCAGGTTTTGAGCCCTGGGAGTGTCCGTGTTCAAAACAAGTTGCTGATCTGGTAGATCCTATGGCTGATTCACGATGACAATTGTTATTAAAAAGAGATGGTCTCCTCCCAGTGTGTTGGATTCTTAAGTAATTCTTCAACCAGGTCACTATTAAGGACCTTTATATGTATGTATTAGTTTGTACTATTATCCTGTATTCATGTTCAAAGTTGATGATCTTGGATGTATTCCTTTAGTTTCTACCATTATCTGCTATGCTGTGGTAAATATTCTGCCTTTTACGGCTCAGAAATTTCTATTCTGGCCAGTGTGGTGGCTCATGCCTATAATCCCAGCACTTTGGGAGGCCAAGGTGGGTGGATTGCTTGAGCCCAGGTGTTTGAGACCAGCCTAGGCAACATGGCGAAACCCCATCTCTAGGAAAAAAAAAATAGCTGGGTTTGGTGGCACCCACCTGTAGTCCCAGCTACTCAGTAGGCTGAGGGGGGAGTATGGCTTGAGTGTGGGAGGCAGAGATTATAGTGAGCCAAGATCACACCACTGCACTCCAGCCTGGACAACATAGCAAGACTCTGTCTCAAAAAAAAAAAAAAAAAGAAAAGAAAAATTTCTGTTCTGTTGGCAGCAACCCATCAGAGCTTCTTGTATTCAATAACCATACATACCAGTTTTAGGCAAAAAGAAATGACATTTTGGCTAAATATACTATTGGTTAGATTTATAGTTTGCAGTAGGCTTTTTCCAATAGTGAAAATCACATATAGACCTTCATGTTCAGTAGGAAGGAAGAAGTCAGAAGTCCCCCAAATTGACTTTCCTTGGTGCTGTCTACCCTGAGTTAAGTGATATGCCCATCCTTGAGTTAACGATCCACTGAGTGAAATATTTCTCTTATTGTCGGACCTACCCTGGGAGTGGAGACTCAGCAAGGACAGGGTTTCAACTCACAAAGCTGTGAAATCTGGGGTGCTCCCATGAAGAGAAATGGATGCTGGGGAGATGGATGGGTGCCAGCAGATGTCCTCTATGTCAAGTGTCAACCTAGGACCTGTAGTCTAATGAGAAACTATGATGAGTTTAAGAACTGAAATCCCTCTGCCTTCCCTGTTGTACGTGCCCAGAGGACAGAACTACCAGCTCTTCTAAAGGAGTGAGGGGAATGTGTTCAGGGGAGGCCTTGTGGAAAAGTGACACAGGGCTGGGTCTTAAAGGGTCAGGAGGGATATACTCCATCTAAGTTAGGCAAAGAAAATGGCACCAGGAAGGACATAGAGACCTGGATAGGAATGGAATATCCATGGTAACGATGAACAGGTGTGTGACTGTAGCATCCTTAGGTCTTCAGCTTTTGGGAGTCAGCCTATATGTTTCACAAATGACAAAGCTGAGGCTTAGAGAGATTAAATGATTCTCCCAAGAGTACTTAGTTTGTGTGTTCAGTCCTGGTTTCTTCTCACTTACTCTGCTGGCCCCAGTTAATTCCAGTTTTCGTGGTTTTTTTTTTGTTGTTGTTTTGTTTTGTTTTTGTTTTGTCTTTTAATTACTACAGTGGAATCTAGTGCAATTTCACATCATGTGCCTGAAACCATGGGATGGGTTAGCACTTCCAGAAGCAGCCTTTTCTTGTGGGGTATTATTTTTATTTGCATATGTAAACCCTCTGCCGCCAAAGCTCTTAACACAAGCATTGCCTGGCATACACACACAGACTTTTATACCCTAAATAGCAGAGGCCTGGAAATGTTTGTCTACCTTTGCCAGCATCTGACTGTGATTATCTTTAACCACAGTCACACTTGTTTGTCTCCTAAAATAGTATTGACTCTCCGGAGGAGGCTGTTTCTAGTCTTCAAAGCCCTCCCAGATATCTATCTCCTTCTACCTGCCTCCTCCTGGTAGCCTTGGCAGCCTCTAATTGATTCACTTAATTTTCTTGCTCCGTATGGCAACACTCCTGAATCCTTCCTTAAAATTCACAGACCTCTCCTTGTGGATTTTACCTCCCGGAGCCCACCTGTTGATTCAGGCAACTGAAGTGTGGCTCTGCTTGAGATGTTCCTCAGCTATTCTTCCTTCCTGTCCCTGGCTCTCCCTACAGGTCATGCCAATATGCAGGTGTCGACTTCCCCAGAGGATAGTAGCCCAAAGGCCAAGCTGTGTCTGACCTATAGGGAGAGACCCAGTCAATTTTTGAAATGGAGCATCTCTCCCCACAACTCTCCCACGAGCATGGATATTAAAAATGTGTGTCCTTGCTTTGAGGTTCTGTCTCAGAGAAAGTCAATATTCCCATATGCTAGTCTATTGGGTTCCTTTGCCTTAAAGTAAAGGTTGCCTCATTTTGACTTTGAACTTGATGGGGGCAAAAGGGGGAGAATGAAGGTGTTTTTACCTTATAGTATCTAACTATGCCCTCCCACCTCTCTAGAATAATACATTATACCAGGCTAGAAAAACTGCTTCAGATGGAGCCTGGTGATCTTATTTGAGAAGGTCATTCTCAGAGCCATCACTAGGATAAAGAGAGTGAACAACATCAGCTCACACATGTGATTCTGTGTTGCATGCTTTGGACTTGGATTCTATCACCGAGAGATCCCTTCTCTGAAACAGTTGGGGTGAAACATGGGTGGTAGACCCAAAACCCCCACAAAGTAAGAACTCTGAACAAATAGATGGTCAGGACTGCTTTCACGTTTTTTTTTTTTAAATTTATTATTATACTTTAAGTTTTAGGGTACATGTGCACATTGTGCAGGTTAGTTACATATGTATACATGTGCCATGCTGATGCGCGCACCCACTAACTCGTCATCTAGCATTAGGTATATCTCCCAATGCTTTCATGTTTTTTAAGCTTTCTCTATGCCTTGGATAGTGTATTCTCCAGAGTGAGGATGTGGAAGTTATGCATCGAGCCTGAAAAGAGCCACTCTTGGTGCTGCTGTTGGACTATATTGCTCTTCCCAAACCACAAAGGTTGTTTCTTTATAACCTTGTGATCATAGAATTGAAAGTTAAGGTGCTTAATGGTGGAAAATAGTTTGGGAAACGAAGGTTGGAGATGAGCTCATGAAAGCCCTATAAATATTTTTATGATCCTTAAAATAAATTATTCCACTAAGGGGAATAATAGTGATTACTATGTAATTTCCATTCTATTGGGTTAGAATTTTTCAGAGTTTTTCCTGATTCAAAATTTGAACTAGATGTTTTTTAATTTCGTTTAAAATTTTTAATTATTAACTAATTATTTTAGAGACAGGGTCTCACTCTGTCACCCAGACTGGAATGCAGTGGTACGATCATAGCTCACTGCAGCCTCAAACTACTGCACTCAAGCGATCCTCTTGTCTCAGCCTCCTGAGTAGGTGGGACCACAAGGATGTGCCATCATGCCTGGCTAATTAAAAAAAAAAAAAAATTAGGCCGGGTGCAGTAGCTCATGCTTGTAATTCCAGCACTTTGGGAGGCCAAGGTGTGCAGATTGCCTAAGCCAGGGGTTCCAAACCAGCCTGAGCAACATGGCAAAACCTCATCTCTACAAAAAATATATATATACAAAAATTAGCCAGGCATGCTGGTGTGCACCTATAGTCCCAGCTACTCAGGAGGCTGAGGTGGGAAGATCACTTGAGCCCAGGAGGCGAAAGTTGAAGTGAGCTGAGATCACGCTATTGCACTGCACAGGGTCTCACTCTGTTGCCCAGGCTGGTCTTGAACTCCTGGCCTCAAGGGATCCTCCTGCCTCGGCCTCCCAAAGTTCTGAGATTACAGGCATGAGCCAGCACATCTGGCCTAAATTCCTTTCTGTGTGTGGTTATAGAGATAATAGGTGCATTGGCTGGATGCAGTGGCTCATGCCTGTAATCCCAGCACTTTGGGAGGCTAAGAGGCAGGTGGATCACTTGAGGTCAGGAGTTCAAGACCAGCCTGGCCAACATGGTGAAACCCCATCTCTACTAAAAGTACAAAAATTAGCCAGGCATGGTGGCACATGTCTGTAATCCCAGGTACTTGGGAGGCTGAGGCAGGAGAATTGCTTGAACCCAGCAGGCGGAGGTTGCAGTGAGCTGAGATCACGCTATTGCACTCCAGCCTGGGCGAAGAAATGGGACTCCATCTAAAAAAAAAAAAAAAAGAGAGAGAGAGAATAGGTGCATTAAGATAGTTTCATCCCACTGTGGTCCTGTATCCAAATGGGGCCCAAAACTGTGTAAGAATATAGACTTTGAAGCTCCATAGACCTGCCTTGGATATTGGTTCTGTCCCCCTGATTATAGAGCTTTAGTACTGTAGGGGTTTTGGTGTCATATATCTAATAAATATGCATGTACACCCAGGTTTTTAAGCTGCTGTGCTTCACCCATGGCAGTGTGATTCGTCAAAATAAACAAGAACGGAGTAGCACTTGGATCTGCCTCCATCACCACCCCTTCCATTACACGAGTGAAATCCCCTCTATCCCAACACACACATCAAAATGTAATGCTTGCCGCAGCTTTTTGCATCTCTTCCAAGAGGGAGGCTTGATTGGAAAACCTACTTCTGATTAACCACCAACTTCACCCTCCTTTATCATTTCAGTCCACTGCTGACTTTCTCTGATTTATCCCCATCATGAATAGCTTAAAGACTTGACTTAACATAGTCATGCATCTGTTCAGCAAATTTTATTGAACTTAAGCATACTGAAACTTAAGCTCACAGTTTCAGAAAACACAGAGAGAAATAAAATCACATTGATTGGAGTTTGTGTACAAGAGGAATTATACTTCGGGGCAATTATATTGTTCTCATTTGGGGCATTCCTTTGGCCTTGCATGATACTTAGACTGGAGTGTCTCCTCTCTTAGATGGGAGTCCTCATTGGTGACCCAAAGGACCTTGGAAACTGCCCAAGAGCTAGAGCCCAAAATCTCACATGTCTGACAAGCTCAGTGCTGGCATAGCTTGCAGCATTCACTTAGCTATGAAAACGCCCAGGCCATGTGATGTGTGGCAAGGCTTCTTCTTAATCCTTTCTTATAGTCCTGTCTCCTTAAAAATACCATAAATTTGATTTATAAAATATGAGAACCATAAAAGACAAATATAAAGCAGAGGTTCTTTGAAGTTTCTACTTTAAAATGTTTTTCTTAACGTTAAAGTCAGGTAAATTATATCCACAGATCTCATTATACATAAAAATAAATTTCAGAAGGATTTCAGGCAAATGTAAAGACACTATAAAGGAAGTTAAAACAAATGATGGACTAGGAGAAAATGCGTGTAACCTGCCTAATAGATAAAAGATTAAGACCCAGAATGTATGAAGAGTTCTTATAAATTAAGAAAAAAGCTAATTAACCCAATATTTTAAAAAAGGGCAAAAGCGATGAAGATGTAAGACTTTTTAAAAGGCAATAAACTTTTCAAAAGATAACATCTAGTAATCAAAAATTCAAATAAAAACGATAAGATTATGTTTCACCCTTCAGATTGGCAAAATTATAGGTAAGGCCAAATAGATATTCATCCACTCATGGGAACATAAATTGATTCTCTTTCTTCAGGGCCATTTGGCAAAATCTATAAAAATTGAAAATGTGTATGTCTTTTGACTCATCAATACCACTTCTTGTACTGTACCCTAAAGAAGGTCTCCATTTGTCACAGGATTTCAAGTGATAATTTTTGTAATAGCGAACAAGAACATGGACAGTGACATTGTTTCCAATAGGGGAATGATTGTGGTATAATTTTACAGTGGTGTGGTATTCAGCCATCTGAAACAAACAGCAAAATAGAAGATCCAAACATAGGAAGATCTCCCATTTGTTAAATGGGAAAAAATCCATACAGAACCATTCAACGACATAGTATAAACATTGTGCAAGAACAAACTGTGTGTCTATGTGGGTGAATGCATTGAAAATGAGCCAAGATATATACTGAATCACTGTGGTTACTTCTAGGTAGCAGAGTAGAATTGATTTGGGTGTGGGGAAGTAACTGGGAGTAAGTTGGGGAGAGATGAACTTTTTACCCTATAATCTTCTAAAGTATTTTATGAAATTTCATGAGCATGTATTTATGTATGACATACTTTTTAAAGTAATACATACTTGTAGCCAATAATTTGGAAGACATAGGAGAAAATAAGGAAAATATATCACCCTATAATCCTAGAGACCTTGACTTTACTCAACTCTCATTCTCACTCTGCTGCCCAGGCTGGAGTGCAGTGGCACAATCTCGGATCACTGCAACCTCCACCTCCTAGGTTCAAGTGATTCTCCTGCCTCAGCCTCTCAAGTAGTTGGGATTATAGACATGTACCACTATGCCTGGCTAATTTTGTATTTTTAGTAGAGACACGTTGACCAGGCTGATCTCAAACTCCTGGCCTCAAGTGATCTGCCTGCCTCAGCCTCCCAAAATGTTGGGATTACTGGTGTGAGCCACAGTGCCTCCACAGCTGGTTCAGTTTTTATAATTAACATTGTATCCTGCTTTTTTTCCACTGAATGTTATCTAAGCATTTTCCTTCAGTTTTACAAATTTATAATCTCTCTTTTTTAATTTTTTTTTTTTTTTTAGGACAGGGTCTCATTCTGTCACCCAGGCTGGAGTGCAGTGTCCTGATCTCGGCTCACTCCAGCCTCTGCCTGCCTGCTCAAGTGATTCTCCCACCTCAACCTCCTGAGTCGCTGGGACCACAGGCATGTGTCGTCACCGTGCCCGGCTAATTTTTTTTTTGTAGAGACAGGGTTTCACCATGTTGCCCAGGCTGGTCTCAAATTCCTGGGCCCAAGTGATCTGCCCACCTTGTCTTTCCAAAGTGCTAGGATTACAGGCATGAGATACCATGCCCTGCCACAAATTTATACCCTCTCATGCAACCTTTAAATGTTTATTACAAATTCACACACTTTAAGTCTCTAGAATAGATAGTAAATTTTTCAAGGGCCATGAAGAGCAGATGAGTCCTCGCTCTGTCTCCTCAGGAAGAGTACTGATAAGTAGAGGGCAGCTGAACCAAGGCCCAAGCACCCAGAGACTAGTTGCTGGAAGTCAGCGGAGAACTTACAGCATCCTGTCTCCCTTCTTCCCCTCCCTCCTGATAGTCTGTGGACCGTATGTTTTTGCTTCTCCCTAGCTCAGGTTCTAATTCTGGCTTCTGGGAGCTGCCTTTTCTGCTGCAGGCCTGCCCAAGAGTTGGGAACAAAGACCAGGATTTGCAATGGTGGCCCTCCCCTGCAGTAATGGCATTTAAAAGTCTGCTTAGAACACATAACTGAATCTTCTGTATTTCCAAGGTTTAAAGGTGAAAGTGCTGGTAAGGATAATCTAGAGTTGTTCTTCCACTTGACAGATTAGTACATTGAAAGCCAGCAAGATTGGGTTTTACCTAAGATCATGCAGCAAGTTAAGAGTTAAGCTGGAAATCATACGTGGGGTTCTTTGTGTGGCCCAGTGCTGCTTTTACTGTACTCCTTTTCTTGAGCGCTGGGAGCCTGAGGCCTGGCCTAGCACTGAAGGTACCATGAAAGGTACCTTAGCAGCATTCAGGCAGCCTGGAACTCTGAGACTTAGCCAAAGGGTCAGCGGACTGAAGAAAGGTCATGTGGGCTTGAGTTTTGTTCATTTATTCAACAAATATACTGCTTTACAGGTATACATGTGCACACAGCTACACAAAGATTTGGGAAATGTTCTGAAGTGTTAAAGGTCACAAAATAGGTGGATTACAGAAACTTTTCTTTTTCCTCAATTTTTTTTTTCCTGTAATGCTTATATATTACTTTTGAAATCCTGACTTTTTAAACTAAGTCCTCCTGTTGGTCTAAGTGTTTTTATCTGTTGAGGTCATGGAGTACTTCCTACTTTGGCATAAGAAATGGGTGGGTGATGTTATCAGCCACATAAATCCCCTCTTCCATGTGAGCCTGATAGTTTGGGGGTCTCTGACCTGAGTTTGTGGAAGTCCTAAGTATGTCATGCAACTCATGTGTTCATGCTTGCCAGACACACCTATGAGTGTATACATGTATTTGCACTAGCTAGGATCCTTCTGCATCTGTGACTGATGAGTAGTAGGTTATAAAAGTGGGTAAAGGGCATAGAGCGCTTTAAATCTGCTTAGAAGAGAGACGTGCATTCTCCCTTTGTTGCTGCCTGGGAAGGAAAATGAGAGTGAATCCATTCCGGCAGATGACTCAAGGCATTGCAGTCTGAGGATGAGGGCTGGCTGTCTTGCAGGCTTGAGGCCTCACAGCCATTGCTGTATTACAACACAATACTGTTCACTGCCATTTAATAGTCATTACTGTCATTGCCATTTATTGTCATATAATAAGCTGTCACTATTGGGTTAAGTAAGTATTGTTATCTCAGAGGTGGGTGGTAGTTATCCTCATTTTATAGATGAGTAAACTGAGGTTCAGAAAGGTAAAGAGGTAGAACTGGAACTCAAATCCCAAGGTCACCTCACTCTACACTTGGCTTCTGTATTCATCCATGCACACAGAAACAGGCATCTTGGCTTCCTTTTTATTCATTTAATATTTAGAACATATTTACTGAGCACTTTCTATGAAATCTTTTTTCCCCAACAAATGTTTATTGAGTGCTTTAGTTCTGTGCTAAGCACTCTTTTAGCTGCTAGAAGCACAACAATGAACAAAAACAGGGGAAAAAAATTCCCTGCCTTCATGGAGCTTTTAGTGAGGAGAGTAGGAGCAACAAATAAGAAATAAATTTCATAGTAAGTATTTTTAAATATAGTACATTAATATTAATAGAAATTTGAAATTCAGTCATGCCAACAGATGAGGAGGTGACTGAAAAGATAGTCTATTACTCACAGTTCCCCAAGAGGATGGGGCATCCCACACCGGGCCACAGAAGAAAACACTGAAGTTGCATGCAGGCAAAGAGAGAAAAGGAACTAGGGGGCTGGAGTCTTTAAGAGGTGAGGCAAGGTAAGCAGGTTTAGGACTGGCTAGTTTGAGTAATTGTAGAGGGCTCTGGGGGGACAAGGGGTTGTCCCTAGTTGTCTGATACCTGGTCCTGGGGTGATTAGGGCAGGTGGATATTGGCCCAAAAATGAAAGCTTGATAAAGAGGGTGGTTGGGGGTGTGGGCTCTGGATTGGTGGGTTTGCATAGGAAAGGTGTCGCCTCTCTCTAGATATTAACTAACCCTGGGGGGGGCGGCTATCCCTCCAGGATCAGCAATACCCCAGATATCAAAGCAAATAATACAGGAAATAAAAAGACATGGTGAATACAATTGGCTTGACTAGGCAGGGTGGCTTACAACTGTAAGCCCAGCACTTTGGGAGGCTGAGGCAGGAGGATGGCTGGAGCCTAGGAATTTGAGATTAGCCTAGGCAACATAGTAGGACCCCGTCCCTACAAAAAAAAGAAAAGAAAAGAAGAAAAGAAAATTAGCCAGGTGTGGTGGCGCACACTGTGGTCCCAATTACTGGGAAGCTGTGGTGGGAGGATTGCTTGAGCCTGGGAGATCGAGACTGCAGTGAACCAGGCATGCCACTGCACTCCAGCCTGGGCAACAGAGTGATACCCTGTCTCAAAAAATAAAGAAACAATACAGTTGGCTAGATGGCAGTAAGTGCTATAGAGAAGGTAACAGGGCTAGGGAATCAGAGTGGCAGCATGTGGAGGTGGGTGTTGTAGTTCTCAATAGGGTATCAGGGAAGGCTGTGCTGATAAGGCAGCCTTTTAGTAATGACCTGAAGCAAGAGAGAGAATGGGCTCTGTGGGATCTGGGGAAGGACCGCCTAGGTAGAGAGAGAAGTAACATCAGAGATGGGAGCATTTCTCATTGATAATGTTACCTAAAACTGTGTCAACACACCCTAGACCATAGCAGAAAGAATTAAGTTGAGATACCAGGTGACTTGTTGGTGTGGGAAATATGAGCAGATAGTAAGGAGGCATAGGATGGCCTTGTATGTGTGAGCTGGATATGGAGTGTTTTGTCCAGAGACCAGATTTGAATATCCTGATGGTTCCTATTCATCCATATGTAGTAAGCTGTTTCTCCCCATATCTGTTACTCATCACTAGAAGAAAAGGTGATTCTTGGTGCAAAGGTGATTCTAGTTGGAGGGAGATTTATCTGGCTATATAACATAGAGTGGTCAGAAATTAAAGATTGTCAATGAAAATGAATCCTATTGCATCACCTATGTCACACCCCGGCCCCTTTTAAAACACTCCAGTGGCTTCCCATTGCATTGGGGATAAAGTCCAGCTTCCTGCTGTGCCCTGCAAGGCTGTGGTTCTAGGCCCTGCCTACTTTCCAACTGCATTTCATGTCCCTTCACCCACCAGCTGCGCTCCAGCCACAAGAACTTCCTTCAGGAAGCTTGAACATCCCAAACTCGTTTCTGCCTTAGGATTTCTGCATAGTCTATGACCTTGGTAGAAAGCCTTATTTCCGTCTTCATGTGGCTGGTTCACTCCCATCATTCAGGTCTCAGCTTAAATGTCACTTCTCAGAGAACTGTCACCAGCTACTCATTCTGAAGAAGTCCTCAGGCCCTCTCTAGCCCATTAGTCAGTGTTTTTTGTTTTGTTTTGTTTTGTGATGGAGTCTCGCTCTTGTAGCTCAGGCTGGAGGGCAATGGCACAATCTCAGCTTACTGCAGCCTCTGCCTCACAGGTTCAAGCGATTCTCCTGCCTCAGCCTCCCAAGTAGCTGGGATTACAGGCATGCACCACCACATCCAGCTAATTTTTTAATTTTTTTAATTTTTATTTTTTGAGACGGAGTTTTGCTCTTATTACCCAGGCTGGAGTGCAATGGCATGATCTCGGCTCACCACAACCTCTGCCTCCCGGATTCAAGCAATTCTCCTGCCTCAGCCTCCCAAGTAGCTGGGATTACAGGCATGTGCCACCATGCCCAGCTAATTTTGTATTTTTAGTAGACATGGGGTTTCTCCATGTTGGTCAGGCTGGTCTCGAACTCCTGACCTTAGGTGATCCACCTGCCTCGGCCTCCCAAAGTGCTGGGATTACAGGCGTGAGCCACCGCGCCCAGCAATTTTTGTATTTTTAATAGAGATGGGGTTTCACCATGTTGGCCAGGCTGGTCTTGAACTCCTCACCTCAGGTGATCTGCCCGCCTCATCCTACCAAAGTGCTGGGATTACAGATGTGAGCCGTCGAGCCCAGCCGTCAGTTTAATTCTTTAAAACTGTTCAATACTACTGGAAATTTTTCTCATTCATTTGTTAGTTTCTTATCTGACTCCCTCTCTACCCTAACTAGAATGACAAGTTTCTAATTTCAGCGACTTTGTCTGTCTCCTACACTTGCTATAGCTCAGCATCAGGAACAGCTCCTGGCATATAGGAAGCACTCAACAAGCATGTGTTGAATGAACGAATAATAAAGTAGTATCTTCAAATATAAAATGTTATATAAATCGAGCCTATGGGATCCCCACTTAAATAATACAAGAGACATTATAATGATGCAAGGTCTAGGCAAGCTCCAGGAAAAGGGCATTCTTATGGAAATAGTCTGATTGAGTATTTTCTCTGCAAAGGATATCTGCAGGGATGCCTGTAGTACTGGTGACATTCCATACCAATCATTGCTGATCATGGAGCCAGGGGTTTTAGCTATAGTAAAGGAAAAGTGGCCTTGCCACCATTAGGCAAGCAAGGCAGAGTAGCAATCTTTGGGCCTTTGGTCCCAGATGTATAGTATTTGGCAGCAGAGTGGTTGCCTCCTTTAAAAAAAAAATATGTCTTACACTCCCCAGCAGATTTACACTTCCCAGTTTGACACAGCCCATACCTCTCCTGATTGTTCCGTGTCCATCTTTTCATGTTTGCCTTATCCGTTGGTCTCTGAAGACATCTGAGCTTTGACTCTTGCCCTAGGTGAATAAGTGCCCCTTTCTCTAGCAGCTTAGTGGGTACATTGGATGTTTTTCCTGATTGAAGGAAAGTTGAAATACTGCTAGTAAGTCTCAGGATTAGGCTCATGGCAACAGGGCAAGATATCAGTTTGTTTTATCTGCCCAAAGGCAGGGGATGCTTGCTAAAGGGAGTTTCTGGTCCCAATTATGCAAATAACCTACATGTTATAATTGGGAAGTGATCTGTCCAGGGTCTTGTGTCATCTTTCAAATCCAGCCTCTCTACCCAGCTCTTGAGTTGAAGGCTTATTACTTGCTACAACAGTTAGGTAACCTAAATCAGTGTTTTCTAAACTAGAAGCCAACATTTGAGCTTCTAAGGTTCTCACTGATCTATTCTCTCATCACCTACTTGCCATTTCTCCTGCCTTTAATGTTGTTAAATTTGATTCATGAGACTGGAAGTGCCTCACTGTCTACTAGGGTCCTAGAATTCTGTTTCCATTCTTCAGCCTGTGGCCTTTCCAGCTGGTCAGCTCCCATACTCAAGACTCAAGAGCAGCCAGTGTTCTATGTCCTGATGATCTTTCTGTATTTATTAGTAACATATTTGGGTAGTTACAGAGCCAGCCTGGATTTATGTCTCCCCAAAAACCTCCAACACCATTTTCAGTGACAATTTGAGATCTATAGAAGAGACTCATGGGTTGAGTATAAACCTGGCCTCAGACTAGCTTTCAGAATCCTCACTTGGGAATCTCTGTTTCACGTGAAAACTTCAACTGGATGGATTTTGTGTGCCCACAAAGGCTAAAATGAACTTTAAATAGAATGTTAAAGCATAGCTTATAAAATGTTAACAAAACCTAGTTCTAGTCTTTAGTGTAATTACCACTTTCTTTTTCTAAAATTCTTATTTATTTATTTATTTATTTATTTATTTATTTATTTATTTATTGAGACAGGGTCTCACTCTGTTTCCTTGGCTGGAGGGCAGTGGCTCGATCACGGCTCAATGCAGCCTCGACCTTCCGGGCTCAATCAACCCTCCCACCTCAGCCTCTCAAGTAGCTGGGACTACAGGCATGTACCACTATGCCTGACTAATTTTTACAGAAACAGAGTTTCGCCATGTTGCCCAGACTGGTCTCAAACTCCTAGACTTAAGGGATCTGCCCACCTCAGCCTCCTGAAGTGTTGGGATTACAGGCATGAGCCACTGCACCTGGCTTTTTTCTTTTTTTTTTTTTCAGAGACAGGGTGTTGCTGTGTCACCATGTCACCCAGGCTGGAATGTAGTGGCACAATCATGGCTCACTGCAGCCTCAACCTCCTG